>NC_000012.12:112005582-112157097 GCF_000001405.40 Homo sapiens | reverse complement strand
ACACCTCACGTGCAAAGACACACATAGGCTCAAAATAAAGAGATAGAAGAATGTTTATGAAGCAAATGGAATGCAAAAAAAAGCAGGGGTTGCAATCCTAGTCTCTGATACAACAGACTTTAAACCAGCAAAGATCAAAAAAGACAAGGGCATTACATAATAGTAAAGGGATCAATGCAACAAGAAGAGCTCACTATCCTAAATATATATGCACCCAATACAGGAGCACCCAGACTCATAAAGTAAGTTCTTAGAGGCCTACAAAGAGGCTTAGACTCCCACACAATAATAGTGGGAGACTTTAACATCCCACTGTCCATGTTAGATCAATGAGACAGAAAATTAGCAAGGATATTCAGGACTTGAACTCAGCTCTGGACCATGTGGACCTAATAGACATCTACAGAACTCTCCACCCCAAATCAACAGAATATACATTCTTCTCAGCACCACATCACATTTATTCTAAAATTGACCACATAATTGGAAGTAAAACACTCCTCTGCAAATGCAAAAGAATGGAAATTATAACAAGTAGTCTCTCAGACCACAGTGCAATCAAATTAGAACTCAGGTTTAAGAAACTCACTCAAAAACTGCACAACTACATGGAAACTGAACAACCTGCTCTTGAATGACTACTGGGTAAATAATGAAATTAAGGCAGAAATACATAAGTTCTTTGAAACCAATGAGAACAAAGACACAACGTACTAGAATCTCTGGGACACAGCTAAAGCAGTGTTGAGAGGGAAATTTATAACACTACATGCCCACAGGAGAAAGCAGGAAAGATCTAAAATCAACACCCTAACATCACGAAAAGAACTAGAGAAGCAAAAGCAAACAAATTCAAAAGCTAGCAGAAGACAAGAAAGAACTAAGATCAGGCAAAACTGAAGGAGATAGAGACAGGAAAACCCCTTCAAAAAATCAATGAATCCAGGACCTCATTTTGTGAAAAGATTAACAAAATACACCACTAGCCAGACTAATAGAGAAGAGAGAAAAATCAAATAGACACAATAAAAAATGATAAAGGGGATATTACCACTGATCCCACAGAAATACAAACTACCATCAGAGAATACTATAAACATCTCTATGCAAATAAACTAGAAAATCTAGAAGAAATTGATAAATTCCTGGACACATAACACCCTTCCAAGACTAAACCAGGAAGAAGTCGAATCCTTGAATAGACCAATAACAAGTTCTGAAATTGAGGCAGTAATTAATAGCCTACCAACCGAAAAAAACCCAAGACCAGATGGATTCAGAGTCAAATTCTACTAAAGGTAGAAAGAGGAGCTGGTACCATTCCTTCTGAAACTATTCCAAATAATAGAAAAAGAGGGACTCCTCCCTAACTCATTTTATGAGGCCAGCATCATTCTAATACCAAAACCTGACAGAGACACAACAAAAAAAGAACATTTCAGGCCAATACCCCTGATGAACATCGATGTGAAAATCCTCAATAAAATACTGGTAAACTGGCCGGGCACGGTGGCTCACGCCTGTAATCCCAGCACTTTGGGAGGCCAAGGTGGGTGGATCACAAGGTCAGGAGATCGAGACCATACTGGCTAACACAGTGAAACCCTGGCTCTATTAAAAATACAAAAAAATTAGCCGGGCGTGCGCCTGTAGTCCCAACTACTCGGGAGGCTGAGGCAGGAGAATGGCATGAACCCGGGAGGCAGAGCTTGCAGTGAGCTGAGATCATGCCACTGCACTCCAGCCTGGGCAACAGAGCGAGACTCTGTCTCAAAAAAAAAAAAAAAAAAAAAAATACTGGCAAACTGAATCCAGCAGCACATCAAAAAGCTTATCCACCAGTCGGCTTCATCCCAGGGATGCAAAGCTGGTTCAACATACTCAAATCAATAAATGTAATCCATCATATAAATAGACCAATGACAAAAAACACATGATTATCTCAATAGATGCAGAAAAGGCCTTTGATAAAATTCAGCACCCCTTCATGCTAAAAACTCTCAATAGATTAGGTATTGATGGAACTCATCTCAAAATAATAAGAGTTATTTATGACAAACCCACAGCCAATATCATACTGAATGGGCAAAAACTGGAAGCATTCCCTTTGAAAACCGGCACAAGACAAGGATGCCCTCTCTCACCACTCCTATTCAACATAGTGTTGGAAGTTCTGGTCAGGGCAGTCAGGCAAGATAAATAAAGGGTATTCAAGTAGGAAGAGAGGAAATCATATTGTCTCTGTTTGCAGATGACATAACTGTATATTTAGAAAACCCCATTGTTGGCGGGTCACAGTGGCTCACGCCTGTAATCCCAGCACTGTGGGAGGCCGAGGTGGGCAGATCACGAGGTCAGCAGTTTGAGACCAGCCGACCAACATGGTGAATCCCGGTCTCTACTAAAAATACAAAAATTAGCTGGGCATGGTGACGCACACCTGTAATCCCAGCTACGCAGGAGGCTGAGGCAGAAGAATCACTTGAACCTGGGAGGTGGAGGTTGCAGTGAGCCAAGATCGCACCGCTGCACTCCCGCCCGGGCAACAGAGCAAGACTTTGTCTCAAAAAAACAGTGTAAAACCAACCAACCTCCTACTATTTTACTCAATGTCTAATCCAACCAAAGGCAGAGTGGGGAGAGTTTGACTTTCTGGCAGGTCTATCCCCACACTCCAACAGACAGTTAAGGGCAACATGACTGTTCCCTGGCCCAGCTGGGGAGAGGACTTAGAGCTGCCCTGGATCCTTCCTCCCAACTTTTTGAAGTTCCAGGGAGATTTCAATGACAGCAGAAGCCATGCAAGTCCGAGTCCCTCCAGTTTCTTTCACGCAACAACACATGAAAGTCTCACTGAGCTAAGGTGATTTTGTTTTACTGAGATATAACTGACATACACTAAAAGATCTAACCCTACTATGTATCGTTTGTGTGTGTGCGCGAGTGCATGCAGACGAAGCTTTTTTCTCTCAGGATAATTCTTTTCAGAGACCTGCCTCTGCAAAGAACTGGCCGCATGGTTCCCGTGTCTAGTGTTCCATCTATGAAATAGGGCAGTTCCTCCCACCTTTCCCACCCCAACAGGTTGTTGGAAGAACAAAGGAACTCAAAATGACCTACGGTGCTCAGTGGTCCTATGCAGACGGAGGCACTGAGGGGTAACAGCTAATCCTGCTAGGGCTCAACTCCTCTCAGGATGAAGGCTTTTGAAGAATCTGCTTTTCTCTATTCAGTCAGAGGCACCCCTTCTAGCCCCAGTCATCACCGGAGCTGCAGCAAGCCTGTCAGTTTTCTCAGAAGTCCAATTTAAAACACTACACGTTCAATGTCTGTGTACTCCAAGAAGGGACTCATGGTGGAGCTGCGAGGGTTACTGGAGTGCCGGAGAAAGCCCAGCCCTGCTCACCTCCTCCAACCCCAGGGCTGACTCCAGCCTACCCTGCCCTCCCTGCAGTCTCTAAAGCACACAGGAGAAGGAACCACAAGACTGAGCTGAACTCCAAGTACAAACTTTATTTCTATTACAAGGAAGTTAATAATTATTATAACAGTAAAATAAAAACAAGGGGAAGGGGCTCTGACACTTGGTTTTCAGAGCAAGTGTGGGGCTGGGGCAGAGCCCAACATACCTGCTGTGGGGACAGGGAGCCCTCAGCCCTCCCCATTAGAAAGCAGTGAGGACAAAAGATCCATGCTCCCCCGGGAACAGAAGGCAGTGATGCCAAATGCCAAGGAAGCAGCTTAAAACACAGCCCCCGGTCCACTCACCTCCAGCTCAACACATCAAAAGCCTCGTTACTGACAGACATTGCAACTGGCCTGAGCACCTTACCAGAGCGCCTCATACACACCTGGGGCCCAATCGAGTGTGGACAGACGCAGTACACGGAGAGGTTGCCCAAAAGCCCCCAAATTTAGGCCCCAACAGGGCAGAGAATCACCTTACTGGTGGCTACCAGGTTTCCAAAATCTTCCCCTCCTTCCACTGGGACCACACAGCACCAAGGGGCAGTGGCGACAATAAGTCAAAAGGGAGCCCTGGCAGCCGAGGCTGCAGCTTGTATTTCACTGCTGCCGAAAGGTAGCAGCTAAGGCTGAAGCGTTCCTCAACCGCCACCCTGCTCCCTTCCCTCAAACCCAAACCCCCACAGCACAACCTCAAAAGACACAAAATGGCCATAACCTAGAAAAATCTAAAATCTGGAAAAACTCTCCCACCCAAAGAGCCAAAGAGGTGGGCCTGCACAGCGGCAAGTGCTGCTGTGCACAGAAGACAGGAACCGATGTAAAGTCTCTGGAGACACCATTACTCCTCCTCTTCCTCTTCTGCATCCCCAGCTCCCTGTTGCTTGGAAGGCTTTGCCTGGTGAACAACACAACACAAACGAAGCTTTACATAAAAAGTGAAAAAGCATTACTCCTCCCCTGGATCCCCGAAAATGTCCCGCTTCCTTAGAAACCTCCTTCTCAAAAGCCAAAGGAACAATCTTTGAACCACAACCAGCCTGGTCCCAACAACTTCTACAACTTCAGGAGCCACACAAGCCCCACCATGTCTGAGTCCCCCACTGAGCATCATGGGCTGGAGCCCACCTTACCTTTGCAGTTCTGCTGCGGTAGTTGGCAGCTGCAGGGGTGACCCGGGAATTCCTGCCACCTTCACTCCTACCACTGAAAGAAAACAATTAGAAACTAGCTCCTGAAGTGTCCCTGAGCAAAGGTCAACAAACTCAGAGGGAACAGGAAGCAGTCCTATGCTAGCAGACAAACCCCAAAAAACCCATAGGCCACAAAATAATTTTTTTGGAGTCAGGTGACAATACAGGGAAAATCCATACTCCTCCCCTTACCATGCAAGTACCTCAGTCTTACCCCAGGCCTGGCAAGGGTAACCAGGCCTTTGCCCATGTTCGCTTCAGCTACTCCCAAGCCCCATTCCTGGGCTACTGATTCTTACCTAGCTCCGTATCTCCCTGAAGGCCCAGGGGAGAAAGAGGGCACAATGTTTTCTGGGTAGAGATTTTGAGGAGGGCGAATCACTGAAACGTGCCCAGGGGCTATGGCCCCATTCTGGCTGTCTCGATTCCGCCCCTGGATGTCCTGGCTGTCTGAGTTGCTGAGCTTCGGCACACAAGGAGAGCTGGGCTGGCACCCAGGTCTGGGGCCTGATGTTGATCTCGATAGCTGGTTATAGGTAGCTGTCATATTGTTAATGGGTCGGCTGGGAGGCAGACAGGAGGTGGGCCCATTAGCTGTTTCCTGCTTAGTATCATCCAGGTAACCAGAAGACAGGTCTCCTGAGAAGAGAAAATGGTAACAGCTTTAGGAAAAAGCCTGCTCTGGCTATAGTGCCAGGTTTAGGGCAGGAACAAAAAGATTCCAGATAGAAGACAACTGCTCAGCCAGGCGTGGTGGCTCATGCCTGTAAACCCAGCACTTTGGGAGGCCGAGGTGCGGGGATCACCTGAGGTCAAGAGTTAGAGACCAGCCTGGCCAACATGGTGAAATTCCATCTCTACTAAAAAAAAAATACAAAATTAGCCAGGTGAGGTGGCACACAGCTATAGTCTCAGCTACTCAGGAGGCTGAGACCAGGAGAATCACTTAAACCCAGGAGGTGAAGACTGCAGTGAGCCAAGATCATGCCACTGCACTCCAGCCTGGACAAGACAGAGCAAGACTGTGTCTCAAAAAAAAAAAAGACAACTGCTCACCCCAAAAGGCTGCTGGAACCCACATCTCCAGGGCAGAGATGGGGATATTTTATCAATTCTGCACATATTATCTGAGTCCTCAAAGACAGCCTCCTAACTATTCAACAATAGTGTGCAAGCAAACCTTGAAAAATAATTTTTTTTTTGAGATGGAGTCTTGCTCTGTCGCCCAGACTGGAGTGCAATGGCATGATTTTGGCTCACTGCAGCCTCTGCCTCCTGGATTCAAGTGATTCTCCTGCCTCAGCCTCCCAAGTAGCTGGGACTACTGGCGCCCGCCACCACGCCCGGCTAATTTTTGTATTTTTAGTAGAGACGGGGTTTCATGATGTCAGCCAGGCTGGTCTTGAACTCCCAACCTTGTGATCCGCCCACCTCAGCCTCCCAAAGTGCTGGGATTACAGGTGTGAGTCACCATGCCCAGCCAAAAAATAATTTCTAATTGGCTTTGTAGTGGTGAGGTTTCAAAAACAGTTTACTTGCCTAAACATGATGGTCTTAAGTAATAATAATAAGTTTGAGGCTGGGTGTGATGGCTCACACCTGTAATCCCAACACTTTGGGAGGCCGAGCTGGGAGGAACACTTGAGCCCAGGAGTTCAAGATCAGCCTGGACAATGTGGCGAAACCCCAACTCTACAAAAAAAAATTAAAAATTAGCTGGGTGTGTTGGTGGGCACCTAGCCTACCTATAGTCCCAGCTACTCAGGAGGCTAAGAGTGGGAGAATCACTTGAGCTCAAGAGGTTGAGACTGCAGTGATCACGCCACTGCACTCCAGCCTGGATGACAAAGAGACCCTGTCTAAAAAAAATAAATTAAATAAATAAGTTTGAGGTCGGTCACAGTGGCCTACGCATGTAACCCCAATGCTTTGGGAGTCCAAGGCAGGAGGACTACTTGAGGCCAAGAGTTCGAAATCACCCTGGGCAACATAGCAAGACCCTATCTCTACAAAAACAAAAAAATTAGTTGGGTGTAGTAGAGTGTGCCTGTAGTTCCAGCTACTTGGGAGGCTGAGGAGAGAGGATCACTTGAGCCCAGGAGTTTGAGGCTGTGGTAAGCTATGATTGTGCCACTGTACTCCAGCCTGGGTGACAGAGCAAGACTCTGTCTCTACAAAAAAATTAAATAATAATAATAGGTTTGAGTACCCTAAGTGTATTTCAACTTGAAATGGGGGCCCAGGGTAGCTACCATAAGGTCTGCAAATTATCTACAAATAATCCACTAAGTGCACAGATAGGAAACCAGAAACTTATTACAAGCACTTACTACTACATGTATCTCATGGATGTCCGCAAAGCCATTACCCTAAAAATCACACACTTGAGAGAGCTCAGTCTAATGTGGGACCACAACTACCTGCAGAGGAGTCCCCTATGAGACCCTAGTGTGTTTGGAAATTTGAGATGCAGGTAATCCCCACATTAGAGCAGTGGATGGGAAGTGGTAAACAGGCCGGAGCCAGCAGTAGACCTGCGGCCTTGGCTGAGTCCTGGCTAATAAATACCCTGGTGTCTGACACGCCTCCTGGGCAGCTCTGGTGAGGTCTCTTGAGGCTGGGAATCCAGTCTAGGAATCCCCTCTGTCACATGGTTGGTTGCAGTGGCTGGGCGTTGGTCACACTGGTCCTAAACAAGAAAAACCAGAATTAGTACCTCTGAATTGAGTCATTCCCAGAAAAGAGCATGCGATGGGAGGAACAGCAGTGTATTCCTCATCTGGAGGGGGACTTTGACAACCTCTGAAAGTTCTGGGAACTTTCAGAAACCACACATCTGGAATGGTTGCATTCAATCCCATCGGCACATGAGGCACTGACAGAAACACTTTCTGATTTGTGCAGGGATGCGGGAAGGGCTGATCTTGGAGCCCAGAAAAACATTTATTTCTTTTTTTTTTCTGTTTTTTAAGACTATTCAAGTGCAATAGTGAGAACGGGGAAAAGAGTAGAACAAGGAGTTCAATCTGTAACTGACTGTGAACAATCAACTGAGATAACTCACTACCTTCAGAGCAGCTGAAAAGCATTTCTATACTCTCACCAGAGTATTTATTTGTGTCGTTGCTTATTTCAGTCTGCCCTAGAGGGTAAGCAGTCACTTATCTACTGTTTGATCCCAAAGCAAAAGTCTTTTTTTTTCTTTCTTTCTCTTTTTTTTTTGAGACAGAGTCTCGCTCTGTCACCCAGGCTGGAGTGCAGTGGTGTGATCTCGGCTCACTGCAACCTCTGCCTCCCAGGTTCAAGTGATTCTCATGCCTCAGCCTCCCGAGTAGCTGGGATTACAGGTGCCCGCCACCACATCCAGCTAATTTTTGTATTTTTGGTAGAGATGGGGTTTCACCATGTTGGCCAGGCTAGTCTCAAACTTTTGACCTCAAGTGATCTGCCCGCCTCAGCCTCCCAAAGTGCTGGGATCACAGGCATAAGCCACCATGCCTGGCCTCTGAAAAGCAGGAGTCTTTATTACAGAAATGAAATGTACAATGTTCTAGTAACAGCTACATGGCATCAACTACAGAAATGGTAGCTGCAGTGTTGACTCTCACTCCCTGTAACATATACGATTGGGCAGAAAACATATTTTCCACTAATAGATTGGAATCCTATACTGTAAATGCTGAAAAATGACTTCATATTGTCTAGTCCAACTCCCTCACAGATGGCCCCAGTAAGGGTCATCCACAGGACAAAACCAGAAGTAGACCCTCAGGTCTCCTAGAATGCAAGTCTCAAATGCCACCACAATGGGAAAAACCCACCTGGTGAAAAGCAGGGAGACTGTCATCTAAACTCTCTGACAAGGCTTCCTTCCACACCTGCTCAAATAGAGTCCTGGCTCTTTGGTCCTCAGCTAGTAACAAGATGGCTTCAGTTGCCCAAAGGGAGGGAAAGTCTGAAAGCCTGCGGTATTGGTTACCACAGACAGCTCACAAAGATGACTTGGCCAGAAGCCAAGTGTGTGCATTCCTTGTCAGGATGGAATGCAACTTAAAGGCTAAGGAAGTGTTCTCAGCTCTGGAAGCCTCAGGTTCACGCACAGAGCCACATGGACAGGGACTCCAGGGACCCTTACCTGGTGATGGAACAGCACCTCCTCTTCCAGCTGTACCCCACAGAATTCACATGGGATAATGATGCTCTCCTCCACAGGGTGTGAATTGCTCAGGCCCATCAAAGAGTCTAACTGGTTACTTGCAGCCTGTTGCAAGAAGTTCTGGAAGATGACATCAGGTTCCTCCACCCCTCTGGGGGAAGAGCTGCCAGTATTGAGTGAAGGTAAGGCACGTGAAGGGTTACAGCTTGTCTGTCATTCAAAAAATATAGGTTAAAAACAAGAATCAGAGGTTAAGAAAAAAACTACATTCCTAAAATATTTTCTAGAAGAAGTCATATAATTTTAACAATGCTTGGCCGGGCGCGGTGGCTCACGCCTGTAATCCCAGCACTTTGGGAGGCCGAGGCAGGTGGATCACGAGGTCAGCAGTTCAAGACCAGCCTGGCCAAGACAGTGAAACCCCATCTCTACTAAAAATACAAAAATTAGCCGGGCGTGGTGGCACTTGGCTATAATCCCAGCTACCTGGGAGGCTGAGGCAGAGAATTGCTTGAACCTGAGAGGCAGAGGTTGCAGTGAGCCGAGATCGCACCACTGCACTCCAGCCTGGGTCACAGAGCGAGACTCCGTCTCAAAAAAAAAAAAAAAAATTTTTTTAAATGCTTAATATTGGAAAGAGGAACAAAAAAGAGGAATACACATAGAACACTCATTTTACTTTTAAATATTTTTATGGTTTTTTTTAAGTGTGTTCATTCTTTTTAAATTAATTTGAAAAGATTCAAGGTTCTTCCCACCACATCCATACAGTAAAAGAGAGGCACAAATATTCTTTATTATCTTTGTTAATGGATTTTCTATGGTACTCCCAAAACAAAAACTACATGTATTCAAATAATATATTATTTCATTTATGGGGGAAAGTATGTTCCACCATCCAGAGCACAGGCACTATTTGGTAGTTGTGGAAATGCCAGACTAGGCCAAACCAAATCAGAGTATTGAGGGAACAAGAAGTTCCCTCCTGGCCAGACGTGGAGGCTCACGCCTGTAATCTCAGCACTTTGGGAGGCTGAAGTGGGCAGGTCACGAGGTTAGGAGTTTGAGACCAGCCTAGCCAACATGGTGAAACCCTGTCTCTACGAAAAATACAAAATTAGCCAGGCATGGTGGTGTGTGCCTGTAGTCCCAGCTACCCTGGAGGCTAAGGCAGGAGAACAGCCGGAACCCCGGAGGCAGAGGTTGCAGTGAGCCCCGATCGCGTCACTGCGCTCCAGCCTAGGCGACAGAGTGAGACTCCATCTCAAAAAAAAAAAAAAAAAAAAAAAAAAAAAACAGAAGTTCCCTCCATCAGGTAATCCTCAAACACATAAAGCTATTTGCTCATCATTCCTAAATGGCTCAAGAATAGTCAATCATTCAAATAACTGACACCTTTTCAGATACCAAGTATTTAGAGATTCCGAAACTGGGAAAACCCAGAACCTGCCCTCAGGGAAATCAGCCTAGTGGTGCAGACCAACAGGAGATCAGAAGACCACATCATAAAGTGACAAACTATAAGAGAGGTGGGCACAGACTTTTAGAAGCACACAGGTGTGGTTCCTGACCTAGCCTTCATAGTACCTATCAGGATGGCTTCCATAAAGTCACATCTGAACCAACTCTACAAGTAAGGGGTCTGTGTTGTTGGATGTGTTAAGGAGACAGGGGCAGAAGGCCAGACACCTTTCAGGTAGATAAAGTAATGTGCAGAAAACACCCTTGACCTTTCTAGAAAAATGCAAGGACTTCAATACAGCTCCAATAAATCAAAATGTGGCATGAGATGAGACCAGATCACAAAACGGATAGTGGAGATATATGTGCACCAGTCACTACCACATGAAAGGGCTGCTAGCATGAGATTTCCAGGTCTGCTGAAATGAGCATCATTCCCTGCCCCCCCCTTTTTTTTTGGTAGAGCTGGGGTCTCACTATGTTGCCCAGGCTGGCCTTAAACTCATGGGCTCAAGCAATCCTCCCACCTCAGCCTCCTGAGTAGCTGGGACTACAGGCATACATCACTGCCATCACTTTTTTTTTTTTTTTTTTTTTGCTGTTATTTCACTATTGTTTTTTTTTTTCTTCTTCTTCTTCTTTTTTTTATTATTATTATACTTTAAGTTTTAGGGTACATGTGCACAATGTGCAGGTTAGTTACATATGTATACATGTGCCATGCTGGTGTGCTGCACCCATTAACTCGTCATTTAGCATTAGGTATATCTCCTAATGCTATCCCTCCCCCCTCCCCCAACCCCACAACAGTCCCCAGAGTGTGATGTTCCCCTTCCTGTGTCCATGTGTTCTCATTGTTCAGTTGCCATCTATGAGTGAGAACATGTGGTGTTTGGTTTTTTGTCCTTGCGATAGTTTACTGAGAATGATGATTTCCAATTTCATCCATGTCCCTACAAAGGATGCCATCACTTTTTCTAAGAAGGAACAAGGCTAAGTTTTCATATCTGTATGCCACTCACATCATGGAAAAGAACACTTGCTATTCCTACTATGGGCATTGTATTAAAATGATTTGTTCAAGGCCTCATGTGGCCTGCAACACCAATTATGGCCTGCATACAATCCTACTAAAAGTCCTCAAGTAATTCATAACACACCTGATGGTCAATCAGCAGTTCCTCTGGGTAGAGCTCCTCACAAAATTCACAAGGCAACATGATCTCGTCAGCTGCACCTAGGTATTAGGCCACACAATGAGACTCAGGATGAACAAAAACAAACTTGAATTTAACTTTTTATCCTCTTTATGGGGTCTTATATAGAAGTTTGGCTTTCTTTAATGTTTCTTATAGATAGCAATTTGTGGGGCTGTATATTCTCAGAGGGAACCCATCCAAGAGATAAACTCTAGGCCAAAACTTCCATGACAAAACAAGAAATGTACTTGACCCCAATTTCCTGAGTAGCAGTATAGCAGTAGTTTACCTGCTACTCACTACTCTAAGGAAGCGATTTAAATGTGTAATAACCATAGGCAATAATCTTAAGTGTTTTCCACACACTATTTCAATCCTCAGAAAAAACTTACGAAGTAGATCCTACATTATCCTTATTTTACGGATAAACTGGCAAACAATATCCTGAATACTCCTCCCAGTACCAAAAAATGCTGCCTAAAAGTAACTGAAGTGAACAAATCGATACATTTTAAACCCAAGATTCCCAGACACAACATCCTCAGGAAAACTGCTAAACAAATGGGAGGGTGAACAATGGCGGGATGTAGGGAAATTTACCCTTCTACCCATCTAGATTTTAGTTCTGGGTAAAAGAAAAGTCTCTACCAAGTAGAGTAACTAGAGCTTGGCCCCTTACATAGGTTTGGGGTCACAGTCTGTGCTTCTGTTTTTTATGTTTCTATTTTTACATAAATTCGCATTTGTGATTTTTTTTCTGTTGCCTAGATTGGAGTGCAGTTGTGCAATCTTGGTTCACTGCAGCCTTGATCTCCCAGGCTCAAGAGATCCTCCCACCTCAGCCTACCCAGTAGCTGAGACTACAGGTGTGTGCCACCATGCCTAGCTAGTTTTTGTTTATATTGTGTAGAAATGAAGTCTGACTCTGTTGCCCAGGATGGTCTTGAACTCCTTGGCTCAAATGAACCTCCCGTCTCAGCCTCCCAAAGTGTTGGGATTACAGGAATGAGACATGATGCTCAGCTACGTTTATGCTTTTTAAAAGTCCAAGCCAGCCGGGCATGGTGTCTCACACCTATAATCCCAGCACTTTGGGAGGCCAAGGTGGGTGGATTACCTGAGGTCAGGAGTTCCAGACCAACCTGAGCGACACGGTAAAACCCTGTCTCTACTAAAAATACAAAAATTAGGCGGGCATGGTGGTACAAGCCTGTAATCCCAGCTACCCTGGAGGCTGAGGCAGGAGAAATCACTTGAACCCCAGAGGCGGAGGTTGCAATGAGCCAAGATCGCGCCATGGCACTCCAGCCTGGGCAACAGAGGGAGACTCTGTCTCAAGAAAAAAAAAAAAAAAAGTCCAGGCCAAAAGCTTAAAGTTACCCCTAATGGTAGTATCTCTATGTGCCTGCCAGAAGCATTTATAAATTCTCAGAGGAACATGCTAGAAAACTTGGTGTTCACACACACACGTAGCAAGCCTCCATGAACAGGAGACGCAGAAACAACATAGCAAAGAAACAGTTTTTGCTATTTTTGGACACAAAAGAAAAATAAGTATATTTAACATGTTTAAAGACATGTTAAAGAGGGAACTATGCTGGGCGCAGTGGCTAATGCCTGTAATCCCAATCCTTTGGGAGGCCGAGGTGGGGCAGATTGCTTGAGTTCAGGAGTTCGAGACTAGCCTGGGCAACATGGTAAGGAACCATCTCTACTAAAAATACAAAAAAAAAGGTAGTGGTGCATGCCTGTGGTCCCAGCTACATCGGAGACTGAAGTGGGAGGATCACTTGAGGCCTGGGGGCGGAGGCTGCAGTGAGCCGCGATCACACCACTGCACTCCAGCCTCGGTGACAGAGCAAGATCCTGCCTCAAAAAAAAAAAAAAAAAAAAACCAAAGCGGGAACTGTAATATGACTATGGAACAAAAGATTATTTTAAAAATTAGGAGGTACAATGAGGAAAAGGATCAAACAGAACTCAAAATGAAATATATAATCACTAAGTGAAAATCTTAAGGGACACATTAAACAACAGATTAGAAATAACTACGGAGAAAAATCAGTGAACTAGAAGACCGATAAGAAATTACCCAGAATGGCTGGGCGCAGTGGCTCACACCTATAATCCCAGCACTTTGGGAGGCTGAGGCAGGTGGATCACCTGACATCAAGAGTTTGAGACCAGCCTGGCCAACATGGCGAAACCCCGTCTCTACTAATAATACAAAAAATTAGCCGGGCATGGCTGGGCGCAGTAGCTCACGCCTGTAATCCCAGCACTTTGGGAGGCCGAGGCAGGCGGATCACGAGGTCAGGAGATCGAGACAATCCTGGCTAATACAGTGAAACCCCGTCTTTACTAAAAATACAAAAAATTGGCCGGGTGTAGTGGTGGGCGCCTGTAGTCCCAGCTACTCGGGAGACTGAGGCAGGTGAATGGCGTGAACCCGGGAGGCGGAGGTTGCAGTGAGCCGAGATCGTGCCACTGCACTCCAGCCTGGGCAACAGAGGAAGACTCTGTCTCAAAAAAAAAAAAATTAGCCAGGCGTGATGGCACATGCCTGTAATCCCAGCTACTCAGGAGGTTGAGGCAGGAGAATCACTTGAGCCCAGGAGGCAGAGGTTGCAGTGAGCCGAGATCGTGCCATTGCACTCCAACCTGGGCAACAAGAGCAAAACTCCATCTCCAAAAAAAAAAAAAAATGTTCAGAATAGTATAGCAAATACCCATATACTCCTCATCTATATTCACAAAGCTTAATATTTCCTCACATTACTTTTATGTATTTTTCCCCTGAACTATTTGAGAATAAGTTTGAACACATAACATTTTATTCCTAAGTACTTCATCATGTGCCTTTGAAGAACAAGGGCACTGCTTTCTCCTATGTAAACAATACGGATGTCACTCTCAGCAACTTTAATGTAAGTTCTCTACTTGTACAATAATGTCCTTTAGAGCCTTTTTTTTTTGAGACAAGGTGTCACTCTGTCACCAGGCTGGAGTGCAGTGGCACAATCTCAGCTGACTGCAACCTCTGCCTCCTGGGTTCAAGCATTCACCTGTAATCCCAGCTACTTGGGAGGCAGAGGCACGAGAATCACTTGAACCCAGAAGGCAGAGGTTGCAGTGAGCCGAGATCATTACATTGCACTCCAGCCTGGGTGACAGGGCGAGACTGTCCCAAAAAAGAAAAGAAAAAAGAAACAAAAAAGAGTAAGGCAAATTCTATTTCATTAAAATCTTTCAATTGTATAAGAATTGTATAACCTAAGACTTACAAAAACTGTAGAGAAAGAGGCTAGTGCAGAATAAGCAAGCCTACCCTTTATGTCACTGAGAGACCTGGGACCGCCATGAGACTGGTCGGCCTCACATACGGCCCTCCAGAAGTCCTGCTCTGCCACACTGGAGGCTTGGCCTTCATTTTGCAGACTTAGGGCCAACATGAAGTCCAAGTTTGCACTCTCTTCACCACCCTCTTTGGGGGGCTGTTGGCCTCTATTCCTTTCCTGCCTCTCTTGTTCTTCAACTGAAAAAAAAAAACCAACCAACATTCAGGATACATTAGAAATGTTACCACCCTCAACTCAAGTCCATGCCTAGCAAATAGTCAAGGTTTACAGGCATCCGGGAAGGAATAAAAATGACCATGTTCAACTAGCTCTCTTCACCCTCTGGGTCTCCTAGCTTTGAACATTAAAGTCTGCCCTGTGAAAAGGCTCCATTATTATTCTAACTGTATTATTAAGCAATATTACTGAGCCATAATTATGAGACAGGCACTGTGCTAAACATTTTATACTTATTTTCTGAATTACAGTAGAATGGTTTAAAGCACGAGGTCAGATTATCTGAATTCAAATCTCAGTTCTACCTTCAAATTTACCTACCTTCAAATAATGAGAGAATTAAATGAGTTAATACGTATAAAGCACTTTGCAAATGCCTAAGGGAAATAAGATACAGGTTGAGCATACCAATCCAAAAATCCAAAATTTGAAACTTTTTGGGCATCAATATGGCTCTCAAAGAAAATGCTCACTGGAACATTTTGGATTTCAGATTCTCAGATTTGAGATGCTCATCCAGTATATATAATGCAAATACTTCAAAAGCCAAACCACTTCTGGCCCCAAGTATTTTGGATAAGGGATACTCAATCTGTATAAGTGTTGGCTATTTACAACACTGTCATCATACTCACCATTATGAACCCTAACTATAATCCAATGGAGGTTATTTCCATTTTATAGGAAAGAGAGGTATTCTTCCCAGTGTTACTCAGCTACAGTCGGGTTTCTATAATCAAGATCTATCTGGCCCCAAAGCCCTGTTCCCATTTGCCTTGGGATTTTGATACCATTCTAGTTCCCTAATCCCAAGCACAACTCACACAGATTATTCTGAATTGAAACCTGGGCTGTAATGTTCCTTTGGTTGGTAGTTCTATTGTGGAAAACATCTGATTCAAAGGCTCTCAGGGGCCTTCGCGGCAGCCTCATGGGTGGGTCCAGAGCCTCAATTTGTCTGAGGAGTTGGGATGCAATCCAGATTCCATCCTGACCCCAAGATTCATCATATGCATTAGGAGGTATGGCAACCTCATTTCTCTTTTCCTCCCCCTCTCTCCCACAAACTTCAGGGTGAGTCTTCAGATCTTTCACAAGGACATTGCGACCACAGTTGCCACATAGTTCCGTCCGGGCACCACAATAATCTTCATGTTCCTTCAGTTTGAGAATGGAAAGTTCTAAATCACAGTGCTGGCAGACAGCAAGCCGCAAAGGGCACTCAGTCTCCTACAAAACAGAGGAATGAGGCAGTTAATATGCATATCTAGGAGAGGTGTGTTTTAGTATAGGGCAAGGAAAGCCAAGAGTATCTACTGCAATCTTCTCTTCCAACCCTTGATTCTCCTACCCTTTTTTAATGTATTTAATTATTTAAGAGTCACAGCTTCCCCTTTTGTTCCTGCCACAATGTTCTATAAAGGAAAATAAAATATTAGAGGGAGCCCACTACTCAGCCACCCTAACTATCATATTGTTTTGTGCACACATTACTTAGTAATCTAAAACCAGCCAGAGAAGCCCAGGAGCAAATAACAAGAATCATAGCAAGTCAGATGTTTGTCAAAGCTCCAATGTCCCTGTCCCCTACCAACTATTCCAATTCAGTCTTTTTTTTTTTTTTTTTTTGAGACAGTGTCTCGCACTGTCGCCCAGGCTGGAGTGCAATGGCGCAATCTTGGCTCATTGCGACCTCTGCCTCCCAGGTTCACACGATTCTCCTGCCTCAGCCTCCTGAGTAGCTGGGATTTCAGGCACACACCACCACACCCACTTAATTTTTTGTATTTTTAGTAGAGACGGGGTTTCACTATGTTGGCCAGGCTGGTCTTGAACTTCTGACCTTGTGATCCGCCCGCCTCAGCCTCCCAAAGTGCTGGGATTACAGGCTTGAGCCACCACGCCCGGCCTCCAATTCAGTCTTAAGTACCTAATAATGAGGAAAAGAAACTGCACTTTAGAAAGACACAGGTTTCTCTAACCTTCATATTTGTATTTAGCACAGGCTTTATTTTTCATTTATTATTATTATTTTTTGAGAAAGTCTTGCTGTCGCCCAGCGACAGAGTGGTGTGCATGGAGTGCATGGTGCAATCTCAGCTCACTACAACCTTCACCTCTCGGGTTCAAGCAATCCTTGTGCCTCAGCTTCCTGAGTTGCTTGGGACCACAGGTGCGTGCCACCACACCCAGCTAATTTTTTTGTATTTTTAGCACCGAAGGGGTTTCACCACGTTAGCCAAGTTGGTCTCAAACTCCCATCCTCAAATGGTATGAGCCACTACTCCTAGCAAATCCGTGTTATTTATCTAATAAAAGAACTTTGGGACCTGGGCAATGGCCCACGCCTGTAATCCCAGCACTTTGGGAGGCCAAGGCAGGCAGATCACCTGAAGTTAGGAGTTCAAGACCAGCCTGACCAACATGGTGAAACCCCACTCTACCAAAAATACAAAAATTAGCAGGGTGTGGTGGCATTCACCTGTACTCCCAGCTACTCGGGAGGCTGAGGCAGGAGAATTGCTTGAACCCGGGAGGTGGAGGTTGCAGTGAGCTGGGATAACACCACTGCACTCCAGCCTAGGTGACAGAGTGGAAAACAAAAAAAAAAAGCTTTTGAAAAAAAACTTTCTGAATTGGCATTATATCTACATGGTATCAAATTTTATTTTTTAATTTTAATTTTTCTTTTCTTTTTTTTGAGACAGGATCTCAGTGTCACCCAGGCTGGAGTGCAGTGGTACGATCATGGCTTACCGCAGCCTTGACCTCCTGGGCTCAAGCAATCCTCCCACCTCAGCCTCCCAAGTAGCTGGGACCACAGGTATATGCCATCATGCCTAGCTAGGTTTTTTGTTTTATTTTTTATTTTGTAGAGACAAGGGTCTCCTTATGTTGCCCAGGTTGATCTCAAAACTCCTAGGCTCAAGCAGTCCTCCTACCTTGGCCTTCCAAAGTGCTGGGATTACAGGCGTGAGCCACTGTGCACAGCTGGTATACAATTTTAAAGCCCAAAAAGGATATATGTAAAAATCATGTCTCTTCTCCCCTGTTCCTCTGCTACCTAAGGCCTTTTTATCAATTTATTGTGTTTCCTGCAAGAGGTAGTTCATGTATATACAAACAGTGCTGAAAATGTTGGAGTAGCATTTAGAATAGAACTTTAGTTTAATTTTTTTTTTTTTTTTTTTGAGACGGAGTTCGCTTCTGTTGCCCAGGCTGGAGTACAATGGCATGATTTCGACTCAGTGCAACCTCTGCCTCCTGGGTTCAAGCAATTCTCCTGCCTCAGCCTCCCAAGTAGCTGGGATTACAGGAGCCTACCACCACACCTGGCTAATTTTTGTATTTTTAGTAGAGATGGGGTTTCACCACTTTGGCCAGTCTGGTCTTGAACTCTTGACCTCATGTGATCTGCCTGCCTCAGCCTCCCGAAGTGCTGGGATTACAGGCGTGAGCCACCACGCCCAGCATTTTTTGTTTTTGTTTTTGTTTTTTTTTGAGACAGTCTCACTCTGTTGCCCAGGCTGGAGTGCAGTGGTGTGATCTTGGCTCACTGCAACCTCTGCCTCACAGGTTCAAGCAATTATCCTGCCTCAGCCTCCCGAGTAGCTGGAATTACAGGCATGCGGCACCATGCCTGGCTAATTTCTGTATTTTTAGTAGAGATGGGGTTTCACCATGTTGACCAGGCTGGTCTTGAACTTCTGACCTCAAGTGACCCGCCCTCCTCTGCCTCCAAAAGTGCTGGGATTACAGGCTGAGTCATTGCGCCTGGCCTACCTTTTTATTTTTATTTTTATTTTTTTGAAACAGGGTCTTACTTTGTCGCCTAGGCTGGAATGCAGTGGCACAAACAGGGCTCACTGCAGCCTCAACCTCCAGGCTCAAACAATATCGTACCTCAGCCCCTCGAGCAATTGGGACTACAGGAACGGACCACCATTCCCAGCTAATTTTTTAGTTTTTTGTAGAGATAGGGGTCTCACGATATTGCCTAGACTGGTCTTGAACTCTTTGGTTTAAGCAATGCTCTCGCCTTGGCCTCCCAAAGTGCTAGGATACAGGCATGAGTCACTGTAGCCCGCTGTGAATTACCTTTAAGGGTAATTTAATTATAAATTAATAAAATCAAGTTGTTACAGTTTGAGGCACACAGAATGAAATGCACAAATCTTTAAGTATATACCTTGGTGAATTTTTACATATGTATATCCACTCTTCTATAACTACCATATAAACAGCTGTTTGGATTTTTATTTATTTATTTTTATTTATTTATTTTTTTAGACGGAGTCTCGCTCTGTCGCCCTGACTGAAGTGCAGTAGCGCAACCTCGGCTTACTGCAAGCTCCGCCTCCCGGGTTCACGCCATTCTCCTGCCTCAGCCTCCCAAGTAGCTGGGACTATAGGCGCCCGCCACCACGCCCAGCTAATTTTATGTATTTTTAGTAGAGACGGGGTTTCACCGTATTAGCCAGGATGGTCTCAATCTTCTGACCTCGTGATCCGCCCGCCTCAGCCTCCCAAAGTGCTGGGATTACAGGCGTGAGCCACTGCGCCCAGCCAAGAAATGAAGATCAAGGCTGAGGGATGCTCCCTACTGAATGGGAAAACTGTCCTTGGTTCCACATGGGCTGTAGACACAGCCCTTCTGCCAGCAACTGTTCCTGCAAGGAACTTGTGCTCAACTGAACAAACTGTCACGTGGTTCCTTGAAGGGGCACAGCACTGATTTCACTTGCATTATAAAAGACTGAGTGGTGCTTTTGACTGTTTATGTCAACACTTGAAAACAAGGTGAGCCAGTTTTTTTTTGTTTGTTTTAGATGGAGTCTCACCCTGTCACCCAGGCTGGAGTGCAATGGCACGATCTCGGCTCACTGCAACCTCCACCTCCCAGGTTCAAGCAATTCTCCTGCCTCAGCCTTCTGAGTAGCTGGGATTTCAGACGTGCGTATCCACGCCCAGCTAATTTTTGTATTTTTAGTAGAGACGGGGTTTCACCATATTGGCCAGGCTGGTCTCGAACTCCTGACCCTGTGATCCACCCACCTCAGCCTCCCAAAGTGCTGGGATTACAGGCATCAGCCATCACGCCCGGCTGGATTTTTAAATTGGTGAATTAACATACTCATTCAACGTTGGCCAGTTTTGGCCAGATGCCATAGCTCACGCCTGTAATCTCGACATTTGGGAAAGCCAAGAAGGGAGGATCACTTGAGGCCAAGAGTTCGAGACTAGCCTGGGCAACATAACAAGACCCCAACTCTATGAAAAACAAAAATAAATAAAATTAGTCAGGCATAGAGGCCTATACCTGTAGTACCACCTATGCAGGTAGATCATTTGAGCCCAAGAATTCGAGGCTGCAGTGAGTTATGATCATGCCATTGCATGCTAGCCTGGGTGACAGAGTGAGACTGTGTCTCTTAAAAAAGGTTTTTAATTAAAAAAAAGAAAAATGACCGGGCATGGTGGCTCACGCCTTTAATCCTAGCACCTTGAGGGGCCAAGGTGGGTGGATCACCTGAGGTCAGGAGTTCAAGATCACCCTGGCCAACATGGCAAAATCCTGTCTCTACTAAAAATACAAAAAAAATTAGCCAGGCATGGTAGAGCACGCCTATAACCCCAGCTACTCAGGAGGCTGAGGAAGGAGAATCGCTTGAACCTGGGAGGTGGAGGTTACAGTGAGCCAAGACTGCACCACCGCACTCCAGCCTGCAAGACGGGAACAAGATTCCATCTCAAAAAAAAAAAAAAAACTTTGGGCTGAGTACAGTGGCTCATGCCTGTAATCCTAGCACTTTGGGAGGCTGAGGCAGGAGGACCACTTGAGCCCAGGAGTTCAAGACCAACCTGTGCAACACAGCAATAGAGACAACACCTGTCTCTATTTTTTGGGTTTTTTTTTTTTGAGATGTAGTCTCACCCTGTCATCCAGGCTGGAGTGCAGTGGCGCGATCTCGGCTCACTGCAACCTCTGCCTTCCGGATTCAAGCGATTCTCGTGCCTCAGCCTCCCAAGTAGCACACACCTCCACGCCCAGCTAATTGTTGTATTTTTAACAGAGACAGGGTTTCACCATGTTGGCCAGGCTGGTCTCAAACTCTGACCTCAAGTGATCTGCCCACCTCTGCCTCTCAAAGTGCTGGGATTACAGGCATGAGCCACCATGCCCAGCCGACCCTGTCTGTATTTAAAAAAAAAAAAAAAAAAACCTTTGGCCAGTTTTATCTCAACTAGCGAGCAAATGATACTCTATTCTCTCTCACCAAATGCTGAGGAATTTCTTAGGTTAAATAGCATGTTATCCAGGTGTTCAAGATTTTAAAATGAAGCCAGATGTGGTGGCTCACGCCTGTAATCCCAGCACTTTGGGAGGCTGAAGACAGGCAGATCACAAGGTCAGGCCAACATGGTGAAATCCCGTCTCTACTAATAATTAGCTGGGAGTGGTGGTGGGCGCCTATAATCCCAGCTACTCAGGAGGCCGAGGCAGGAGAATTGCTTGAACCTGGGAGGCAGAGGTTGCAGTAAGCCGAGATCACACCACTGCACTCCAGCCTGGGCAACAGAACAAGACTCCGTCTCAAAAAACAAACAAACAAAAAAGAATTTTAAATGAAATGACAGCTTGTAAGGCAGGCTGTGTGCTAAAGAGGTTATCCCATACTGGCAACTCTAGGGCTGGCTTCATATTCAGTGAGGCTGCCAATAACCAAACCCCAACAGAAATAATAGACTCAGTTCCAAAGGGAGATACTTCGCGAGTCTCAACATACACAAGTGAGTTCCAACAGCCAGGTAGCCGAATCTGGCAGCAGTTACATAGTCAAGGCCTCAAACAGGCTTTGAGAAACAGTATGCATGTGAGCTCACGGAGAACTAACACTCAACCAGACTGGCTTCCTGCTCTGCATGTGGGTCTGTAATCTCAGCAGGACTGGGCCCACGGTAACTCACTCCATGGACTAACCTCATGCTTCTTTAACAGCCTCTTCTCCAACTTCTTGTTACATTTGCAGGTCACCTAGAGTAAGAAGTGAGAATCAGTAAATTGGCTTTGGGACAATATGCTCATTTGCTATTGCACAATAGCAAACAGAATACATTTACGAACAACAGCAAGTATAACACATGTATAAACATTTGAGTACTTGGTGGCTCACCTGACAGTGTTCTGCAGCCATGTGAGTCTCCATGTCAGATTTGGGAAATGGTTCCTTACAGGTAGGACACATACCAATGTTCCTTTGACAGTGGATCTCATGGATGGTAAAGTTAAACACAGGAATTTCTTTTTTGCTACGGAAATAGACCAAAGAAAAAGGCAAGCATTACTGACTAATCTATGCCTTTTCTTGCACAGTGGCATCACATGGAAATCTGTCCTGTCCAATCTTTAGTCTCCATTATTTATCTTTAGTGAATACCTAGCCTACAAACTCATGACTATTACCATTCCTGCTTTTCAAGAACTAAATCCTGGCCAGGCGCGGTGGCTCATGCCTGTAATCTCAGCACTTTGGGAAGCCGAGGCAGGCGGATCACCTGAGGTCAGGCGTTCGAGACCAACCTGGCCAACATGGTGAAACCCCATCTCTACTAAAAATATAAAAATTAGCCAGGCGTGATGGCGGGCACCTGTAATCCCAGCTACTCGGGAGGCTGAGGCAGGAGAATCGCTTGAACCCAGGAGGCAGAGGTTGCTATAAAAAAAAAAAAAAAAAACTGGCCGGGCGCCGTGGCTCACGCCTGTAATCCCAGCACTTTGAGAGGCTGAGGCGGGCAGATCACCTGAGGTCAGGAGTTCGAGATCAGCCTGGCCAACATGGTGAAACCCCGTCTCTACTAAAAATACAAAATTAGCCAGGTGTGGCGGCACATGCCTGTAATCTCAGCTACTCAGGAGGCTGAGGCAGGAGAATCGCTTGAACCCGGGAGGCGGAAGATGCAGTGAGCCTAGATCGTGCCATTGCACTCCAGCCTGGGCAACAAGAGCAAAACTCTGTCTCAAAAAAAAAAAAAAAAAAAAAAAAAATTAAATCCTTTCCAGGTGCAGTAACGCCAGCACATTGGGAGGCTGAGGCAAGCAGATCACTTGAAGTTAGGAGTTCAAGACCAGCCTAGCCAACATGGTGAAACCCCGCTTCTACCAAAAATATAAAAAATTAACCAGGTGTGGTGGCGGGTACCTGTAATCCCAATTACTCGGGAGGCTGAGGCAGGAGAATCACTTGAACCCGGGAGGCAGAGGTTGCAGAAAGCTGAGATCATGCCACTGCACTCCAGCCTCGGGGATAGCAAGATTCCGTATCAAAAAAAAAAAAAAAAAGAACTAAATCCTGAAGGCTCTTCTGTGCAACATTCTGAGTTACCGGTGCTATGCACTACTACATCTAAAAGCTCAGCCTTACTTTCTCAAAGTCAGAGCTGATCACAACATGAAGTCAGATGCCAAAAAGAGTGGAGCTAGGCTATTCCAAAACCATCCATGTCCCAAAGCAGAGTGATACGCTCCAGGATTATTTTAAAACAGAAAACAAACCAAAACAACAACAAAAACAAGTGAAAAAACACCCTACCACTGATTTTCTCTCACTTTTAAGTAGTTTAATTTCATTGGATTTTATTCCATGAAAAGTCAAACCAAAAAGAGAAGACTCCAGCTTTTGGACAGTCAAAGGGGAAGGGGAAATTGTCTCCTGTATGCCTCACATGCCTTTCGAAGCAGGCTGGATGCTTCCTGACTACAGGAACATGCTCTCTGGCTGGGTTGGTAGAAACTTCACTGTAAAGCTGTACAAAAATGAAATCCTGAACCCTTTCCTCCACCAGTCTGGTCTCTCCACTTCATTTTTGCCTTTCTCACTTAGTTTAGTGGTTCAAAGATCATATCTAAGCTATACAAATTAAGGAGGTAAAGTGATAATGTTACATGAAAGAGTAAGACCATTTAAACATGAAAAGATTATACATGTACTCGAACTAAAGGTACATTCTATTCAAAGGCCTTACTTTTACTTATTTGGATAGGACCATTGTAAAATTCCAATTTCACCAGCTAAAAACTACATTAAAGAAGGTACGTATAACAATAATTCAGAAAAATAAAATACTGAACAGGATCAATACAGATAGTCATAAAACACATTATTTAATACCATATTTTGCCTCTGAAGCTGAATACTAGAAGAACTGTCTCCCATACTAAATTATAAATAGCTTATTTCTCTTTTAATAACCTTTAATATTCAGACATTGTCTAAGAAACATTTTGAAGTAGGATAAATGATGTGCCTCCAGCTATAGTCATTCTTCCAAACTGAAAGACCAAGACACCAAGGAAGTGCAAATTCATTTTCATCCAGTGGTGGAATTATCAAGCTAGGGACCCCAAGGCAGCTCTCAAAGCAGCACTGGAAGGTGACAGAACAATCAACTGTGAGAGATGGGAAGAAAACTCAAATGGATAAAGAGGAAAATTACTGACAGATTTAACTTCCCATATTTCTCTCAAATTTTTAGCTTTCTAAGGAAACTACTCATTTTGAATTAATTTAGTTAAAATAATACATCCCAACTTTTTAAAGATGTTGTGAAATGAATACTTTAATACATTACTGGTGGTAGTATAAACTGCCTAAAAACAGTCTGAAAATTCATTTCTAGGACCATAAAATTATATACTCTGTAACACAATAATCCTACTCTTGGGATTATGTATGAATATTTTCATTACAGTATCATAGAATGGTAAAAAATGAAAGTCATTAAAAATACCTAAGCAAGAAAGGAATAGCTAAGTTACATATAGTATACCAACAAAGTGAAAGAAGAAATGTTATATTGTGATTGTAAATCATGTATGTACAAATGCCATGAAAATTAAAGCCAGTAATTACTGCTTAGGGTGTAGAAAACCTGGGTTCCTTTTTCATAATATTGGCAATAATTTTTATTTTAATGGTAAATATGGAGACACTAAATGTCTAGCATTTACTTTACAAGGCTGTTCAGGATAACTTGTTGACATACTACATACACAAGGCCCCTAAAACTTTAGAATTAAAACAAAAAATATTAAGGACCACACCATCATAATATGAAGCAACAAGAATCAAAAGCAGCTGTCAAGTAAGACCACAAAGCATTTACTATTGCACATATTCACCTCTTAGGAAATGCTGAAATAAAAAAGATATTTGCAACAATTATATAAAACAGTTGCCTGCTGGGTTTTTTTCTTTTAAAATTTAACTGCCAACATATTCCTACCAAACATTCCAACCAGACCAAATACTAATATGCTTACTTCCTACCTTCGGAGAAAATGAAGATGTTTTAAGTGAGATAAATGAGCACACAATTCCGTATCCAGATAAAACTGCTAAAAGTCTCAAGGAAGGGCTAGCAAATTAGAGGTGAAATTTCATTTAGATAGAAATAGCTGAAAGGCAAACCAAAGCTTCCAGAAAAATTCCCAAGAACTTTCCAAACACTAAACACAAACAGCCAGAAATTAATTCTTTACAGGTTTAGTCAGCCTTCTATGCTAATCTGCTTTTTTCTTTAATTTCTTTGGCTTTGAATAGCATTGTTTTTCACTAGCTTTCCATTAACTCACCCTTTAACTCTCTTAGCATAGTTATTTATATTTTGTCCTAGGCTTGAGATTCCTCCTAATTGGAGTGGACTGATAAAATAGGTGTATCTTAACTAATGCTAAAAACCAATGTGTCTCTTTTCTTACAAAATCATGTTTTCTTTTGATTATTTGTTTCTGATTACTCTGTTTCAGTAGCTATACATATAAAACCCAAACAAAACTAAAATAGTTTATGAAATGGTAGAAAGTGATAGTGGCATAGCAGAAATACTCTACAATATGGCAAGACACCTACAATGAGATGAAATCTTAATTCCAAGCAGGTAAAGAATATTGTAACCAGCTGTTGCTCTAATTATATTCTAATTCTGCCAAAGTTAGGCTGAGAAGAAAGAAAAAGACAACGATGATGACAAAAATGTTATTTGGCTCAAATATTCCACCAATGAGTTAAACTATTTTCCTTATTCCACATCTCTTTCTACCACAGTTTGCTAAGGTAAACATAGCACATTGTGAAAGAAGTACCCAGTGAAGGAAAATAAAGTAATAAACATAGCAGACAGTTCTGCTTTGCTTTTTTTGTCAGCTTACAGTAACAGCACTTGTATAGCACCAAGATACCAAGATAAGTTCTTAGGAAAACCCCAACAGGAACCAGCTGATTATTAACTTTACAACCGGTTTCATTTCATCAGGAAAGAGATGCTCTTTCTTGTAATTCATGTGGGTTATAAACACCAAAATAGAAAGCTTAACTCAAGACTGTGCCAGTCTTCACTAACAGTTTTTAAATCAGGAAATGATAGTGATTAAGCTTGACTGTCCTCATTCCACTAACATTTCTTAGATTTAATGTCTTACCAGTTGTCACACAGTCGAGTTTCCTGGTCATCTAGAAATTCAGCCATCTTTAGCTCTTCCTGAAAACCACAAAGGAAGACATGAACTTTCTCTTTCATTTCTGCTTTAAAGATGACATGCAAAAAAACAAATAAAAAACTAGTATACAGAAACTGTCACCCAAACCTGCATGTTAAAGCATTTTATTCAATATCCAGTCCCTTGGGATTTTCTTATTTTAAAATTTTCAATTTAAAATAATTTTATTGGATAAGGGAGTTTTAAAAAATAAAAATAATAAAATAAAATACTTTTACTAGGCTGGGTACAGTGGCTCATGCCTGTAATCTCAGTACTTTGGGAGGCCGAGGCAGGCGGATCACTTGAGCCCAGGAGTTTAAGACCAACCTGGCCACAACATGGGGTAACGTCATGTCTACAAAAAATACAAAAAAAAAAAATTACCCAGGCATGGTGATGTGTGCCTGTAGTCCCAGCTACTCGAGAGGCCGAGGCAGGAGGAATGTGCAAGAGGAATGCTTAAGCCTAGGAGTTTAAGGCTGCAGAGAGCCATGATCATGCCACTGCACTCCAGCCTGGGTGACAGAGTGAGACCCTGTCTCAAAAATAATAATAATAATAACATCCTGGCCAGGCGCAGTGGCTCACACCTGTAATCCCAGGACTTAGGGAGGCCGAGGCAGGCAGATCACAAGGTCAGGAGATCGAGACCATCCTAGCCAACATGGTGAAACCCCCATCTCTACTAAAAATACAAAAATTAGCTGGGTGTGGTGGCGCATGCCTGTAATCCCAGCTACTCGCGAGGCTGAGGCAGGAGAATCGCTTCAACCAGGGAGTCAGAAGTTGCAGTGAGCCAAGATCGTGCCACTGCACTCCACCCTAGCGACAGAGTAAGACTCCGTCTCAAAAATAAATAAATAAATAAAAATAAAATAACATCCCTTACAGACTTCATCCAATTACCCTAAAAGCATCATAACAATAGTAAAATTATCAAATAGAGGAAATTAACACTAATACAATACTAGTAACTAATCTATAGAATTCATTCAAATTTCACCAACAAGTCAGGCACAGGGGCTCATGCCTGTACTCCCAGAACTTTGGGAGGCTGAGCTGAAGAGGATCGCTTGAACCCAGGAGTTTAAGATCAGCCTGGGCAACATGGTGAAACCCTTCTCTACAAACAATTTAAAAATTAGCCAGACGTGGTGGCACACACCTGTGGTCCCAACTACTCAGAAGGCTGAGATGGGAAGATCACTTAAGCCCAGGAGGTCAAAGCTGCAGTGAGCAGTGATTGTACCACTGCACCCTAGCCTGGGTGACAGAGTGAGATCCTGTCTCAAAAAAAAAAAAAAAAAAAAAAAAAATCACCATCCCACCCTTTTTCTGGTTCAGCATTCAATCTAGGATCACACACTGCATTTGGCTATTACTTGTAGTTAATCTCCTTTGATTTGGGAGAGTTCTTCAGTCTTTCCTTCTCTTTCATGACCTTGTTAAGCATACTGGCTTTTTTTTTTTTTTTTTTTTTAAACAGAGTCTCACTCTGCTGTCTAGGCTGGAGTGCAGTGGTGCGATCTCGGCTCACTGCGATCTCGGCTCACTGCAACCTCGACCTCAGCCTCCTGAGTAGCTGGGACCACAGGTGTGCACCACCATGCCCAGCTAATTTTTGTATTTTCAGTAGAGATGGAGTTTCACCATGTTGACCAGGCTGGTCTCAAACTCCTGACCTCATATGATCCACCAGCCAGCCTCAGCCTCCCAAAGTGCTGGGATTACAGGCATGAGTCACCGTGCCCAGCCAGCTAGTTATTTTATATAATATCCTTCAATTTGGGTTTGTCTGATATTTTCTCATGATTAAATTCAGGTTATATATTTTTGGCAAGAACACCATAGAAATCATGTTGTGCTCATCTCAGTGCCTTATATCAGAAGGTACATGATGTCAACAGTCTTATTTTACTATTGATGTAAACCATGATCACATAGTTGATATGGTGTCTGCCAAATTTCTTCACTATAAAGTTTCTCCTGCTTTTTAAACAAGATGTCAATGCAGAAAGCAAAGCACTGGCAACTTTACTACCATTGTTTAGTTTAGATTATTCCTTTCCATGATACAAAAATGGTCTTAAATCCTGCCCCCAGTAGGGTTCTTTAAAGGTTTTGGCATTATCAAGCGAGTTGCCACTTTTCAAAACATGTATTTAGTCATTTGTTCAACATGCTTAATTAAGACAATACTTTGAGGCTGGGTCCAGTGGCTCATGCCTGTAATCCCAGCACTTTGGGAGGCTGAGGTGGGCGGATCACTTGAGGTCAGGAGTTCAAGACCAGCCTGGCCAGCATGGCGAAACACCTCTCTACTAAAAATAAAAAAATTAGCCGGGTGCCTGTAGTCCCAGCTACTAGGGAGGCTGAAGCAGAATTGCTTGAACCCGGGAGGTGGAGGTTGCAGTAAGCCAGGATCACACCACTGCACCCCAGCCTGGGCAACAGAGTGAGCCTCTGTCTCAAAAAATAAAAATAAAAAAAAAAAGGACAATACTGTGGGCCAGGTGCAGTGTCTCACACCTGTAATCCCAGCACTCTGGAAGGCTGGGGTGGGTGGATCACTTGAGCTCAGGAGTTCAAGGCCAGCCAGGAAACATAGTAAGACCCTGCCTTTATAAAAAATAAGCAGCCGGGTGCGGTGGTTCATGCCTGTAATCCCAGCACTTTGGGAGGCCGAGACAGGTGGATCACAAGGTCAGGAGATCGAGACCATCCTGCCTAACATGGTGAAACCCAGTCTCTACTAAAAAGAGCTTGCAGTGAGCCGAGATCACGCCACTGCACTCCAGCCTGGGCGACAGAGCGAGACTCCCTCTCAAAAAAAACAAAAAACAAAAAAGCAAAAAATTAGGTGGGTATGGTGGCACATGCCTGTAATCTCAGCTACTTGGGAGGCTGGGGTGGGAGGCTGAGGTAGTCCCAGCTACTTGGGAGGCTTGAGCCCAGGAGGTCGAGGCTACAGTGAGTGAGTTGTGATCACACCACTGCACTCCAGCCGGGGTGACAGAGTGAGACCCTGTCTCAAAGAAAAAGAAGACCATACTGTGTGCCACTGTGCCCTGGCACTAAAAATACTTTACAAAATAAGGAAATATAGTCTCTGATAAAGCGATTTAGTGGTAGAGAAAAACAATAAGCAAAAAAATACATATAACTTGAGTATTGTGATGGAAAAGTATACTGACAAATAAATGGGGGCGGAATAGAGGCAAATCTACTTTAGGTAGATAAGAGTGGTCAGGGAAGAACTTTCTGGGGAGACGACATTTAAATTAAGAACTGAAGTACAAGAGCCAACCACGAAAAGACAAAGATAGAGGATGGGAATGCGGGGAAATCCATCCAGGCAGTGGGAAGGGCAAAAGGCCTAAAAGCAATGAAAGAGAAAGTAAAGGCAGATCTGGAAGAGCATAATAAAAAAGGGGAATGACTCAAGAAGGTCTTGTCATATCAGACAGAAAGAATATTGGATTCGATTCCAAGCTCAATGGTAAACCACTGAAGGGCTTTAAACTAGGGAATGACATAATTCAAGACACCCATTCTGGGCTGGGCGCAGCAGCTCACGCCTGTAATCCCAGCACTTTGGGAGGGCGAGGTGGGCAGATCACTGGAGGTCTGGGGTTCGAGACCAGCCTGGCCAACATGGCAAAACCAAGTCTCTACTAAAAATACAAAAATTAGTTGGGCGTGGTGACGGGCGCTTGTATCCCAGCTACTCAGGAGGCTGAGGCAAGAGAATCACTTAAACCCAGGAGGCGGAGGCTGCAGTGAGCTGAGATCTCGCCACTGCACTCCAACCTGAACAACAGAAGGTGACTCCATCTCAAAAAAAAAAAAAGATATTCACTCTGATATGAAATGGCAACTAAGGAAGGCTGTCCGACTGATTTCAGGTGTGCTCTATTCCAGCCCACTCTGGCCAACTCTAAGGCCAGAGCTCAGATGTAGCAGGTGCTTGCTTTTCTAGATGCAAGGAGACTGGGGGTAGCCTGCAGGGTCCCCCTCTGGGGGTCAAGGTCTGGCTGGTTCTGCCAGATTTAACCTCTCTGGGCCTCAGATTCTTCAGGCAGAGGACTGACAATACTTCAAAGGGTCAAGGAAACGGGCGAATGCACGGAAGAGTTGAGGCACAGAAAAGTCTTCAAGCTTATAAGGAGCCTGTTGGGGGTCAGCTAGATCTCTCTAGTCCGCAGAGGGGACCGTCCCTCTGCCCGAGGCGGCGGAGCTTCCCCTGCCGGGTCCAGATACCCCAAGGCAGTTTCCAATCGCCCCCGTCCCCAGGAAGGTCGGTGATGGGGAGTGAAGAAGTAAGCGGCTTCTCAAATAATAGCAGTTGCCAAACGCTTACCGGGAAAATCTTTTAATCCCGACTACAATCCTAAGAGGTGAAAGTCTTGGTCCCCACTTTAGAGGCTACGAAAGCGGAAGGCCACCTGAGTTTTCCACAGCACCAGCGGGTCGGAGTGCGAGCTCGGACTCGGGTCCTTCGGCTTCGAGGCCGCATTAGGCCACTCGCGACCCCCCACGCCGGCAGCTCGAGGCTCGGACTCTAGGCCCAGGCCGGCACTGAGCCCAGCTCCGCCCGGGACGCGGTGGTCACAGCGGCGCTGCGAACGACGCCCGCTTCCCGGCTCACCAGACCAACCTAGGCCGCGAAGGGGGCGGCGTCGCCGGGGGCTGCCAAGGCGCCGGTTCCCTGAGGAGAAAGCGCGGCCTCCTCCAGGTGCCTGAGATGCCGCCGCGCGGGCATCCTCTCCTCACAGCCGCGACCCCGGGCCCAGAGACCCCTCGCCCACACACCCCTCCCTTGGGATGCTGGACCCTTCCTAAACTGGAGGCCACAGGGGATCTCCAGCCGCGTGCCGCCGCTACACCTCACCAGGGACGAGAGGAGAAACGCTGAGTTGACACACTAGCTGCAGACACGGAGCCTCCTCTGTCAGACCCCGCACTGAACAACGGCCCTCAGAGCTGCCTCACCACTTCCGCCCATCGCGGAGGAGCGCGCCCATTGGCCAGGGGCGGCTCCAGCTGTCGGCCCATTGGATAACACCGTTGTCGCTCCCAGGGCCCCGCCTTCTGCGCGTCGATTGGCTCCCTGGAGGCCCACGGGGGCGTGTCCCTGGAAGCCCTGGCCCCTGCACATCTGGAACCAGAGGCACGAAGCTGAGCTGTGAGCCTGTTGCTGAGTTTAGCAACTGTCCCCGACACAGGCTAATAATATTTGCATGAATAATTCTGTACAAACATTACTAATATGCTTAATATATTGAGATAATTAATGGTATTTGTTCTTTTCTCATGGGCCGTTAATACTTATTAGTCATTCTTATTGCTATGATAATGCCCTTGTGCAAGACTTCTGCAGATCTGTGACCATATTTTTTGAGCACTTTGCTTTTTTGCAGTGGAAGAATGAGAGCCTGAGATGCAGGTTTGAGAGCTAGTTTCTCCACTTGCTGCCTGAATGGATTCCCTGAGCTTCTCTTACCTCATGTATAATAAAGGAGAGAATAATTATATAAGTATAACCAAGCACATATTACAAACCAACTTATAATTATATAAGTATAACCAAGCACATATTACAAACAATACAGCAATTTAAAATTATGATTCCATTGCAGATTATAATTGCAAAATATGGAGGCCAAGGCGGGTGGATCTCTTGAGCTCAGGAATTAGAGACCAGCCTGGGCAATATAATGAAACCATATCTCTACAAAAAAAATACAAAAATTAGCCAGGCGTGGTGGCACGCACCTGTAGTTCCACCTCCTTGGGAGGCTGAGGTGGAAGGATCCCTCGAGCCCAGGAGGCAGGGCTGGAGTGAGCCCTGATCATGCTACCGCACTCCAGCCTGGGGGACAGAGAAAGACCCCGTCTCAAAAATAATATAATATAATATAATATAATATAATATAATATAATATAATATAATTGCAAAATGTTAATGAGATAGTACTAAGCAAGAAAAGCATCTAACAGGCTGGGCGCGGTGGCTCACGCCTGTAATGCCAACACTTTGGGAGGCAGAGGCTGGTGGATCACCTGAGGTCAGGAGTTCAAGACCAGCCTGGCCAACATGGTGAAACACCGTTTCTACTAAAAATACAAAAATTAGCTGGCCGTGGTGGCAGGCGCCTATGATCCCAGCTACTTGGGAGGCTGAGACAGGAGAATCGCTTGAACCCAGGAGGTGAAGGTTGCAGTGAGCCGAGATTGAGCCACTGCACTCCAGCCTGGGCAACAAAATCAAAACTCCGTCTCAAAGCAATATTTATAACAAGATAAAATATTTAGCTTAAATATGCAATATAACTTGTGTGATTCCAAACATATAAAGTTTAAAACCAGGGAAAATTAACCTAAAGTGAGAGAAGTAAGTAACTGGTTCCATTCAGAGGGTATATAGCCTGTAAGGAGATATGAGAAAGATTTTCTAGAAATGTTTATATCTTGATCAGCAAAGTGATTAACACAGATGGATTAATTAGTAAATAGTTATTAAGCTACACACCTATATCTTAAGCACTTTACATTGTATGTTACATTTTAATAACAAAACTTACTGGAGTTCAAAAGAAAGCACAATCATTAACAGTTAAAAAGCAATCAGAAAAAATGTGTATTAATATGAATTAAGTATATTAATGTATTAAGTATATATAAAGAAAAAAGATAACCATATAGTGTGTTCTTTTATGAATAAGGTGTTTTAACTCAGCATAATGTTTTTGAGGTTTATCCATGCTGTTGATAATATCAAGTCTATTCCTTTTCAGTGCCAAGTAGCATAGCACATGGATATGCCACAATTTATACTGACAAACATTAGAGCTGGTTCTAGTTTTTGGCCAGGCATGGTGGCTCACGCCCACAATCCCAGCACTTCGGCAGGTCAAGGTGGGTGGATCGCCTGAGCTCAGGAGTTCCAGACCAGCCTGGGCAACATAACAAAACCCTGTCTCTACAAAAAATACAAAAATGTAGCCAGGCGTGGTGGCTCATGCGTGTAGTCCCAGCTACTTGGGAGGCTAAGGTGAGAAGATTGCTTGAGCCTGGGAGGCAGAGGTTTCAGCGAGCTGATATGGCACCACTGCACTCCAGCCTGGGTGACAGAGCAAGACTCCATCTCAAAAAAAAAAATTGATTCTAGTTTAAGCAGTAGTAACCATTCTTGTGCAAGTCTTTGGGGATATATGTTTTTATTTCTCTCAGATAAACACTTGGAAGTGGGATTGCTGGATCATACGGTAAGTCTATGTTTTAACTTTACAAGAAACTACCAAACTGTTTTCCGAAGTGATTGCACAACTAAACGTTCCCAACAGTAGTGTAGGAGAGTTTCAGTTGCTCCGTATAGTCATCCACTTGGTATAAACACATTTTGAATAAATAAACAGGAGAATGGCAGTCCTGTCTTCCGTTGCCTGAGTGACCCAGAAGCTCCTCTAAATTCATAGTTCACAGTGGGAGGAGACAACAAGGTCCAGGGTAGCAAGGAATGAACTGAAATAATGATAAGCTCAAATTTCACTTAACCCCTGGGGTGCCTTATTTTCACTGGCCTAAATCCAACAGCAGAAATAAAAAAAGTTTAGGGATATTTTATTCCTGACCAAAAAAGGCAGGCAAGGCGGGGTGATTACAGTGGCAGCAGAAAGGATTTAGATTAGGTTAGAGGAAGAGCTGCTTCTTGGTTTACCAGGAGTCACCTGTATGAGAGGATTAGATGGAGTTCCCCCCAACCTCCTTGTACCAGAATCTTTAAAGGGTTTGTTAGAAACTTATTTTTATTTATTTATTTACTTATTTTTTATTTTTCTGAGACAAAGTCTCACTCTCTCGCCCAGGCTGGAGTGCAGTGGCGCGATCTCGGCTCACTGCAACCTCCGCCTGCCGGGTTCAAGCGATTCTCCTGCCTCAGGCTCCCGAGTAGCTGGGACTGTAGGTGCCCACCACCATGCCTGGCTATTTTTTTGTATTTTTAGTAGAGACAGGGTTTCGCCATGTTGGTAAGGCTGGTCTTGAACTCCTGACCTCAAATGATCCTCCCACCTTGGCCTCCCAAAGTGTTAGGATTACAGGCGTGAGCCGCTGCGCCCAGCCGGCTTGTTAGAAATTTGAATGTCTGCTCAAGGTCAACCTCCTCACTATCCCAATTCCCTAGTACCTCAACCTCATCCCTAAAAACTCACTAAATTAACTGAATCTGGATTTCTGGTGTCATGGCCTAAATGGCACTTCTGGGCTCTGGCAGATTTAGCATTCACTGCAGTGGAATTTTGATAAAGCCCAAAGGGAGAGGTGTTGCCCTACCCTTCCCAGCTCAGCCCTACTCAGAGCCCTGCCAGGCTGGGGGAGGGAAATTCCTCTCCTCTAGCCAAAGCTGTCACTACCCAGTCTGAGAAGCCAACATGACTCCTCCATTCCCCAACACGCCCCCATCCCTGTTCTGAACTGTCTTCTACCTCCCGCAGCCTCAGCCCCGCTCAAGGGCTAGGGATCTTCCCTGACAGAATGCAGCTTTTCCTTGTGGTTCTAGTTGCCAACGTGTTCCCTTCCTCCCACTTTTACATCCCAGCAAGCAGCTGCTTAGAGTCACAGATTCCTGGCCCCATGCCTAGCCCGGACACATGGAAGGCACTCAATTTCTACTTGCAGAATTACCTCAAGGTGCTGCTTTACAATAAACTCTTTTTTTTTTTTTTTTTTGAAACAGAATCTTGGCTGGGCGTGGTGGCTCATGCCTGTAATCCCAGCACTTTGGGAAGCTGAGGCTGGTGGATCACCTGAGGTCGGGAGTTCGAGACCAGCCTGACCAACATGGAGAAACCCCAGCTCTACTAAAAATACAAAATAAGCCGGGTGTGGTGGTGCATGCCTGTAATCCCAGCTACTTGGGATGCTGAGGAGGGAGAATCACTTAAACCCGGGAGGCGGTGGTTGCGGTGAGCCGAGATCAAGCCATTGTACTCCAGCCTAGGCAACAAGAGTGAAACTCCATCTCAAAAAAAAAAAGAAGGAAAAAAAGAAACAGAATCTCGCTCTGTCACCCAACCTGGAGTGCAGTGGTATGATCTCGGCTCACTGCAACCTCCACCTCCTGGGTTCAAGCAATTTTCCCGCCTCAGCCTCCCAAGTAGCTGGGATTACAGGCATGTACCACCATGCCCGGCTAATTTTTGTATTTTTAGTACAGATGGGGTTTCACTATGTTGGTCAGGCTGGTCTCGAACTCCTGATCTCAGGTGTTCCACCTCAGCCTCCCAAAGTGCTGGGATTACAGGTGTGAGCCATCTTGCCCAGCCTACAGTAAACATTTAAAGGTGGATTATTTTTTTGTTTTTGGCCAAAACCAAATCTGTTTTCATCAAACTGGGTTTTCATGAAACTGGGTTCCTTTCTACCCTGTAGCATTCCATCCTTTGCACTTCTCTCAGCCCTTCGCCAGCTCCCTCTGTCTTTTGAGGCCCCTTCCTGTTCATCTTCCTGGTACTTTTTTGGGTGCACCAAGAGGCGACTCTGGCAGTAAGTCCCTTGCTCCCTGGCATCCCAACAAGCACCCGATCCCAAATATCTTCTCCCTCTCTGCCCATCTTCTCAGACACCTCTGGTAGGAAACTACTATTATTTTGTTTTGTTTTGTTTTCAATTTGACTGGGGTAGAAGTACACGCCATAAAGTGCATACATCTTAAGTATATTGTGTAAGGACTTTTTAAATAACAGTAACAGTTTTATCAAAGGTATAATTCACATATCAGACAATTCATCCATTTAAAGTGGACCTGGCATGGTAGCTCACACCTGTAATCCCAGCACTTTGGGAGGCTGAGGCAGGAGGATCCCTTGAGCCCAGGAGTTCAAGATCAGCTTGGGCAACACAGGGAGACCTCGTCTCTACTAAAAGTAATAAAAATTAGCTGGGCGTTAGTGTGCGCACCTGTAGTCCCAGGTGCTTGGAAGGCTGAGGTGAGAAGATTAATGGAGCCCAGGAGTTTAAGGCTGCAGTGAGCTATGGTCACACCACTGCACTCCAGCCTGGATAAGAGAGAGAAACTTTTACCTCCAAAAAAAAAAAATTGTTTTTGGCCAGGCGCGATGGCTCATGCCTGTAATCCCAGCACTTTGGGAGGCCAAGGCAGGTGAATCACTTGAGGTCAGGAGTTCGAGACCAGCCTGGCCAACGTGGTGAAACCCCGCCTCTACTAGAAATACAAAAATTAGCTGGGCATTGTGGCGTATGCCTGTAATCCCAGATACAGGGATTTGGGAGGCTGAATTAGCAGAAACGCTTGAGCCTGGGAGGTGGAGGTTGCAGTGAGCAGAGATTGCGCCACTGTACTCCAGCCTGGGTGACAGAGCGAGACTCCGTCTCAAAAGAAAAATTAGCCAGGTGTGGTGGCAGGCACCTGTAATCTCAGCTATTTGGGAGGCAGAGGCAGGAGAATCGCTTGAACCTGGGAGGCAGAGTTTGCCTCCCAGAGTTTGAGACTCTGTCTCAAAAAACAAAAAAAAAAGAAAGAAAAGAAAAAAAGTAGACTTCACAATGATTTTTTAGTATAGTCACAGATTTGTGCAACTATCACTGCAATCTAGTTCCTGGACAATTTTTTTTTTTTTTTGAGATGGAGTCTCATTCTGTCGCCCAGGCTGGAGTGCAGTGGCGCAATCTCGGCTCACTGCAACCTCCGCCTCCCGGGTTCAAGCGATTCTTCTGCCTTAGCCTCCCGAGTAGCTGGGACTACAGGCACCTGCCACCACGCCCAGCTAATTTTTGTATTTTTAGTAGAGACGGGGTTTCATCATATTGGCTAGGCTGGTCTCAAACTCCTGACCTCAAGTGATCCGCCCACCTTGGTCTCCCAAAGTACCAGGATTATGTGAGCCACTGTGCCCGGTGATCCTGGACATTTTTATCATCCCCAAAAGAAACTGTGCCCATTAACAGTTACTTCCCTCATCTCCATGCCCGGACTGACAATCACCCATCAGTTTTCTTTCTTCATAGATTTGCCTATTTGGGACATTCCATATGAATGGAATCATACAATATGGAGACTTTTGTGATGGTTTATTTCACTTAGCATGATGTTTTCAAGGTTCATCCATACTATAGCATTCATCAGTACTTCATTTCTTTCCTTTTCTTTCAATTTTTTTTTTTTTTTCTGAGACAGAGTCTGCCTTGATCACCCAGCCTGGAGTGCAGTGGCGGCACAATCTCGGCTCACTGAAACCTCTGCTTCCCGGGATCAAGGAATTCTCCCACCTCAGCCACCTGAGTAGCTGGAACTACAGGTGCATGCCAGCACACCCAGCTAATTTTTTGTATCTTTTGTAGAGATGGGGTTTCCTCATGCTGCGCAGGCTGGTCTCGAACTCTTGGACTCAAGCAATCTGCCTGCCTTGGCCTCCCAAAATGCTGGGATTACAGGCTTCAGCCACCTTGCCCAGCCAAGAATGCTGTTCTACACAACCGTATACAAATTTTGCATGGATGTATGTTTTCTTTTTTTTTTCTTGAGACAGAGTCTCACTCTGTCACCCAGGCTGGAGTGCAGTGGCGCAATCTCAGCTCACTGCAACCTCCGCCTCCAGGTTCACACCATTCTCCAGCCTCAGTCTCCTGAGTAGCTGCGACTACAGGCGCCTGCCGCCACGCCTGGCTAATTTTTTTGTATTTTTAGTAGAGACAGGGTTTTACTGTGTTAGTCAGGATGGTCTCGATCTCCTGACCTCGTGATCCGCCCATCTCGGCCTCCCAAAGTGCTGGGATTACAGGCGTGAGCCACCGCACCCAGCCCTGCATGGATGTATGTTTTCATTTCTCTAGGAGAAATTTCACCTAGGAGTGGAGTTTTGTATTTGTATATACCCCTGTTACCATCACTCAGATCAAGAAATAGAAAATGCCCGGCCAGGCACGGTGGCTCATGCCTATTAACCCAGCACTCTGGGAGGCCAAGGCCAGCAGCTCACGAGGTCAGGAGTTCGAAACCAGCCTAGCCAACATGCTGAAACCCCGTCTGTACTGAAAATACAAAAATTGGCCGGGCATGGTGGCTCATGCCTGTAGTCTCAGCTACTTGTGACTTTGAGGCCAAAGAATCGCTTGAACCCGCAAGGCAGAGGTTGCAGTGAGCCGAGATTGTACCACTGCACCCCCGTTTGGGCAACAGAGCGAGACTCCATCTCAAAAAAAAAAAAAAAAGAATAGTTTTGCCTGTTCTATTCCGTAGGAACAGATAGAATGATGAAATATATACTATTTTGTGTCAGACTTTTTTCAGGCAATATCTTGAATGTTATATTCACCCATGTCATTGCATATAACCTTAGTTCATTCCTTTTCATTGTCATGTAGTATTCTTAATAAATTGTGAATATCTTCACAACTTCACAATTTATTAGCCCATTCTACAGTTAATGAACATTTGGCTTGTTTCTAGTTTCAGCCAGGTATGAATATTCTTGTTCTTGGTTAGATATGATGTTAATTTCTGTTAGGTATACACCCAGGAGTAGAATTACCGGAATGGGCTATAGAGTTTGCCTTTATTTGGCTTTTGGTTATTAAAAGTTCCAGTCATCCGTGTGTACATAAATATCTCTAGCTCTCATGATTTATTAATATTTATTTAGCCCTGGCTTCTTTTTTTTTTGAGACGGAGTCTTGCTCTGTCACCAGGCTGGAATGCAGTGGTGTGATCTTGGCTCACGGCAACCTCCTCCTCCCAGGTTCAAGTGATTCTCCTGCCTCAGCCTCCCGAATAGCTAGGACTACAGGCGCACGCCACCACGCCCAGCTAATTTTTTTATTTTTAGTAGAGACGGGGTTTCACCATGTTGGCCAGGATGGTCTTGATCTCTTGACCTCGTGGTCTGCCCACCTCGGCCTCCCAAAGTGCTGGGATTACAGGCATGAGCCACCGCACCTGGCCCCTGGCTTTTTTTTTTTTTAATTAAAAAAAAATTTTTTTGAGGCAAGGTCTCACCCAGGCTGGAATACAGTGATACAATCACAGCTCACGGCAGCCTTGACCTCCTGGTCTCAAATGATCCTCACACCTCAGCCTCTTAAAGTGCTGGGATTACAGGTGTAAGCCACTGTACTGGCTCTGGCTTAAAAACCAAAACAATGCAGTCTTTTAATTTCTACCTACAAGTTTTGGAATTCCATCTTTTTTTATTTTTCAGTGGCCCCAGGGTGACTCAGGCACTCACTCATTAGCTGGCCATCTGATTACTCAAAGAGGCTTAGATAATTGACACACTGGGAGGGGAAGTAACCAGGGAATAACAGGGGAGTAACCAGGGAGGGAGCTATTAGGGAAGCAAGAGCAAAGGACAGTGTCTGCCACAGAAGGACATCACGCACTTTTATTTTCTAGATGGAGTTAGGTCTTCCAAGGCGGGCTTTAGACATTCATCTGATTTTATTATTATTATTATTATTGGCACATAGTCACAAGTATATTCATCTCTAACTGGAGAATTATTTGTGAAACTACTGCTAAAAGCCAGTTTCCTAATCAAGGTGCCAGGCCCTGAAACACTCTAGATATGTCCTCAGGCCCTGAAATGTTCACATTATTTCATCAGTTCTGAAGCAAGGAGCAAGAGATGTTGACAGTTATCAAGGAGAAGAGGAAGGGTGAGGGATGTTTGTGTGGGGAAGAGAGCGGTGGGGGGTTGAGCAGGGAGGAAGAGGCTCAGAGCCGCAGCTGATAACTGGGGACTCATACATATTCATGAGGAGGACTGGGATTGGACCAGAGGCCTCAGAGCATGCTGGGACATTTTCCAGGCTGCCTGTTTGCCAGGCAGAGTTCCCAGGGGCCACCGCTGCCTTCCCCGGGCAGCTTCAACCCACAGACACCTGCAGAGACCCTCCTAGTGTCTAGAGGAGGAGAGTTAGGATCACTTTGTTTTAGTCTGATTTCCCAGGAAAAGCCCTCACTCAGTTCTCTCCCCCAACACTGCCTAAGGTGTGAGGCCGGGCACAGTGGCTCACACATATATATAATCCCAGCACTTTGGAAGGCAAAGGTGGGAGGATTGCTTGAGCCCAGGAGTTTAAGACTAGCCTGAGTAACATAGCAAGACCCCTGCCTCTACAAAAAAGTGAAAAAATTAGCTGGGCATTCTGATGTGTGTTTGTAGTCCCAGCTACTCGGGAGACTGAGGGAGGAGGATCGCTTGAGCCCAGGAGTTCAAGGCTGCAGTGAGCTGTGATTGTGTGACTGCACTCCCTCCTGGGTGACAAAGTGAGACCTTGCCTCACAAACAGACCAAATAAATAAATAAAAACATAACCTATGGTTCCATTTACTGGGAGAAAAAATCTTTTCTCCACTGAATTTCACTTGGGCCTTTGTCATAAATCAAGTGACCATATGTATAGAATCTATTTCTGGGCTCTCTGTTCTACACATCTACCTGTTTATCCTTATGCTATTTCTCCACAGTCTTAACGAATGTGGCTTTATTTATTTATTTATTTTGAGAAAGGGTCATAGCCCACTGCAGCCTCAAACTCCTGGCTGGATCAAGCAATCCTCCCGCCTCACACTCCAGAGTAGCTGGGACCACAAGGGTGCACCACCACTTCCAGCTAATTTTTTTAGTTTTGTAGAGATGGGGGTCTTGCTATGTTGCCCAGGCTGGTCTTGAACTCAAGCAATCGTCCTACCTTGGCCTCCCAAAGTACTGGGATTACAGATGTGAGCCATTGCAACTGGCCTTGCCATTTTGGCTATTCTAGGTCATTACTATTTTCATATAAATTTTAGAATTATTTAAAAAATTTCCTGGGTGGTTTTAATTCCTTATCTCATACGCTTTCTCAGGGAACTGGCCACAAAGCAGCACTACCCCCTCAAGGTGACTTCATTCCAAATCAAGGGCCTCATTCTTAGCATCCAGTAGCCCAAATGCAGCTGACAATGTTCTCCCAAGAGTTGAGTAGTTCAGAGGCTGTATAGAGCAAGCCCAGACTCAGATCAGATAATCCAGCCAACTCTGCAGACTCCGGTGTTGACCTGCCCTTGAATAGAGACTAGAGACTGTTCCATGACTAGCCAGAAATGCATATGGAAATTTAATATATGATAATGATGGCATTGGGTGCTTTGTGAAAAAGATGGACTATTCAATAAATAGGGGTTGAGGTCAGGCATGGTGGCTCCCTTGGCTTTGAGAGGCCGAGGTGGGAGGATTGCTTGAAGCCAGGTGTTCAAGAACCTGTCTCTACCAAAAAAAAATATATATATATATAAAATACATTTTATATATATATATATATTTTTTTTTTTTTTGAGATGGAGTCTCACTCTGTCACGCAGGCTGGAGTCAGTGGCGCGATCTCAGCTCACTGCAACCTCCATTTCCAAGGTTCAAGTGATTCTCCTGCCTCTCTTGTAATCTGGGATTACAGGCGCCTGCCACCACGCCCGGCTAATTTTTGTGGTTTTAGTACAGATGGAGTTTCAGCATGTTAGCCAGACTGGTCTTGAACTCCTGACCTCAAGTGATCCGCCCACCCTGGCCTCCCAAATTGTTGGGATTACAGGTGTGACCCACTGCGCCCAGCCTGCGAGCCACCGCACCCGGCAAAAACAAAACAAAACAAAACAAAAATATATACATGTGTATATATATGTATATATATATTCCCTTTATATATTTATACAGCTACTATATATATTTATATGACCACTATAGATAGATAGATACAACTGAAAAAGATAAAATTGAAATCTCACCTTATTTATTTATTCGTTTTGAGACAGAGTATTGCTCTGTTGCCCAGGCTGGAGTGCAGTGGCGAGATCTCAGCTCACTGCAATCTCCGCCTCCTGGGTTCAAGCAATTCTCCTGCCTCAGCCTCCCAAGTAGCTGGGACTACAGGCGCACGCCACCACGCCCAGCTAATTTTTTGTATTTTTAGTAGAGATGGGGTTTCACCAGGTTGCCCAGGCTAGTTGTCATCTCCTGAGCTCAGGCAATCTGCCCACCTCGGCCTCCCAAAGTGCTGGGATTACAGGCATGAGCTACCGCACCTGACATTTATTTATTTATTTATTTATTTATTTATTTAATTTGTTTATTTTGAGAGGGAGTCTTGCTCTGTCGCCCAGGCTGGAGTGCAATGGTGAGATCTCAGCTCACTGCAACTTCCTCCTCCTAGATTCAAGTGATTCTCCTGCCTCAGCCTCCTGAGTAGCTGGGAATACAGGCACGTACCACCTCGCTCGGCTAATTTTTGTATCTTCAGTACAGACTGGGTTTCACCATGTTGGCCAGGCTGGTCTCGAACTCCTGACCTCAAGTGATCTGCCCATCTTGGCCTCCCAAAGTATTGGGATTAGTGTGAACTACCACGCTTGGCCGAAAGACTACCTTATTATTCATATGGAAATAAATACCAAATGGATCAAATATTTACGTGTTAAAAATAAAACCATAGGCTGGGCGCGGTGGCTCACGCCTGTAATCCCAGCACTTTGGGAGGCCGAGGCAGGCGGATCATGAGGTCGGGAGGATCCAGACCATCCTGGCTAACACTGTGAAACCCCGTCCCTACTAAAAATACAAAAAATTAGCCGGGCGTGGTGGCGGGCGCCTGTAGTCTCAACTACTCGAGAACCTGGGAGGCGGAGCTTGCAGTGAGCCGAGATAGCGCCACTGCAGTCCGGCCCCAGGCGAAAGAGCGAGACTCCGTCCCCCCCGCAAAAAAAAAAGAAAAACTAGAAGAATCATTGGATGGAGACACCCACATCACCATATTCAAGTAATGCAGTCCCCCTCCCTGGTATCCTTAGCTATTCAGGCACAAAGCACCCAGGTGTCTCACTGCCCTTTAGGGAAAACATTTCTTCTTCCTCTTCCTCTTCCTCTTCCTCTCCTCCTCCTCCTCCTCCTTCTCTTCTCCTTTTCCTTCTCCTCCTTCTCCTTCTCCTTCTGCTTCTTCTTCTTCTTCTTTTTTTTTGGCGGTAGGGGGACAGAGTCTTGCTCTGTGGCCCAGGCTGGAGTGCAGTGGCGTGATCTCGGCTCACTGCAACCTTTGCCTCCTGGGTTCAAGCGATTCTCCTGCCTCAGCCTCCCAAGTAGCTGGGATTAGAGGTGTGGGCCACCACACCTGGCCAATTTTTGTATTTTTTAGTAGAGATGGGTTTTTGCCATGTTGGCCAGGCTGGTCTCAAACTCCAGACGTCAAGTGATCCACCTGCCTCAGCCTCCCAAAGCGCTGAGATTACAGGTATGAGCCACCACACCCGGCCAGGGAGAATGTTTCTCACTAGAGAAAATGTTACCAAATGAAGACTGTATGCCCCTCCTCTAAGTTGAGAAAATGGAAAACACTACTTAATGAGCACCTGCTGTATACCAAGCACTTTTCCATAATGTCATCGCTAAGAGCTCCAAGTTCTGAATTGTACAGCAAGGATGGGCTTTTGGCTTCCTCAGAGGTCATCTTGTTACCCGAAAAGATTCAGGCCTGCCAAAGGGTGTGCAAGCTGCCTCCCAGCGGCAGGTAAGGACAGGCCCAGAGCCTAGCGAGTCACTGCTTCATTCTTAGGTTCTGAGGACAAGCAGTAGGAATGGGAAAAGAGAACAACCAATTAATCCTAGTTGGATGCTAAGCAGTCTTTCAGAGTGGAGGGAAATATATCCCACTAAGGATGGTGACCTAAGACTCTAGAAGCCTCTGCTAGGTAGATCCATATGATGCCCTGGTCTTGCCAAGTTCAGGGAGCTGGGTGCCAAGTCTATCAGCATTCCTCTGGGGCCAGGCCAACAAAGGTAGCGTAAGAACATGGCTGAGTAACCCGAGCCTTGGTTAGGAGCCTCATATGTGCTCCCCTTAAAGGTGCTGTATTTTTCCATTCCTGGGAAATTCTTAAATCTCAGGTGACTCATCATCTCTTTCACTTGCACCAAAGGTGAACCCCAGCTCTCCTCCCTCCTTTTCCCTGTCCTAGCCCAACCTCAGCAGGGTCACACACCATCTCTGAGTGATCCTAGGGTCAGCTTGCCTGAGGCATCTGCCCTTCATTGTTGCTGCTTAGCATGATTTGGGGGGCATGGAGTTTCCCCTAGCGCAGGGTTGCCCGATTTAGCAAATAAAAATACAGGACACCCAGTTAAATTTGAATTTAAGATAAACAGTGAATGTATGTATGTATGTCTCAAATATTTTGTTGTACTTTGCCTGATAACTTCATCCCGGGAGTCTTTGTTTGTTTGTTTTTGGAGAGTCAGGGTCTCGCTCTGTCACCCAGGCCGGAGTGCAGTAGTGCAATCATAGCTCACTACAGCCTCAAACTCCTGGGCTCAAATGATCCTTATCCAGGGAGTATTTATTTATTTATATATATTTTTGAGACAGAGTCTCCCTCTGTTGCCCAGGCTGGAGTGCAGTGTTGCAATCTCGGCTCTGCAACTTCCACCTCCTGGGCTCAAGTGATTCTTGTGCCTCAGCCCCCTGAGTAGCTGGGATTACAGGTGCGCACCACCCTGCTCAGCTAATTTTTTTTTTTTTTTTTTTTTTTTTGGAGATGGAGTCTCACTCTGTTGCAGGCTGGAGTGCAGTGGCACAATCTCGGCTCACTGCAAGCTCCGTCTCCTGGGTTCACGCCATTCTCCTGCCTCAGCCTCCCGAGTAGCTGGGACTACAAGTGCCCGCCACCACGTCTGGCTAATTTTTTTGTATTTTTAGTAAAGACAGGGTTTCACCGTGTTAGCCAGGATGGTCTCGATCTCCTGACCTCGTGATCCACCCACCTTAGCCTCCCAAAGTGCTGGGATTACAGGCGTGAGCCACTGTGCCCAGCCGCTCAGCTAATTTTTTATTTTTAGTAGAGATGGGGTTTTGCCATGTTGCCCAGGCTGGTCTCGAACTCATGTCCTCAAGTGATCCGCTCGCCTAGACCTCCTAAGTGCTAGGATTACAGGCGTGAGTCACCATTCCCGACCTCTGGAGTATTTAAATGCCTTCCTTTTTTTTTTTTTTTTTTGAGATGGAGTCTTGCTCTGTTGCCCAGGCTAGAGTGCAACAACATGATCTTGGCTCACTGCAACCTCCACCTCCCGGGTTCAAGCCTCAGCCTCGGGAGTAGCTGGGATTACAGGCACGTGCCACCACGCCTGACTAATTTTTTGTATTTTTAGTAGAGATGGGGTTTCGCCACGTTGCCCAGGCTGGTCTCAAACTCCTGACCTCAGGTGATCCACCCGCCTCGGCCTCACAAAGTGCTGAGATTACAGGCACGACCCACTGCACCCGGCCTATTTATTTATTTATGCAAGAGTCTTGCTCTGTTGCCCATGCTGGAGTGCAATGGCACGATCTTGGCTCACTGCAACCTTTGCCTACCGGGTTCAAGCGATTCTCCTGCCTCAGCCTCCTGAGTAGCCGGGGTTACAGGCTCACACTACCACACCCAGCTAATATTTGTATTTTTAGCAGAGAAGGGGTTTTATCATGTTGGCCAGGCTTGTCTTGAACCCCTGACCTCATGTGATCCACCCACTTTGGCCTGCCAAAGTGGTGGGATTACAGGGGTGAGCCACCAAGCCAGCCTTACCACACTATTTAAAATTACCTCCCTCTCTCACTGCCCCCCTTTCCTGCTTTATTTTTCTCAGTAGCATTTATCACCATGTAATAGGCTATCTACTTATTTATTGTCTGTCTCCCTCACTACAAATAAAAACTCCATTAAGTCTCTGTCTATTTTATTTATTGATGTATCCTCTGTGCCTAAAACAAGAGTGTGTCAAATAATAGGCACTCAATAACTCAGTGTTGTACGAATAAATCTATCTGTAAAAAGAGAGGTAATAATAAGATCTACCTCCCAGGGAAATACGATGACAGTTATGAAAATTAAATGAGAGAATAAATGTAAAGACCTTGCATTTAAATACTCTAGGCAGATACCGAGTAAGTATTCATCTAGGATGCTTCTTTGTTGGCTGAGTCCTGGGAGAAGGGTGTGTGGCAGGCCAGGTCTCACTAACACAGGCCTCCATAACAACTGTTTCAGTACTAACTGAGTGGTTAAGTTACATATTAAAAGCTAAAAAAAAAAAGCCAGTGCCCTTATACAAAGGATGGAATGTAACAAAAGCCCACCAAGAGTTTTGCCTAGGCCTTTCCTTGGCCTTAAAGCATGACAAAATAACGAAAGAATTCCTAACAGGACCCATTTAGGATTAAACAAATTTTATTGGGGGTCTGAAGTAACTCCCCAAACCTCCGTGATTTAGTAGGAGGCAAGATAAGGATAATCACCCCAGCACCTATTGCCATTTAGATTAAGTAAATTTACTGAGGCTTCAAAGGAAAGTCTTCAGGACTCAAACCTTAGTTATAGACTAAAGTGAGTTAATCAATTATTATTATTATTATTTTTTTTTTTTTGAGACGGAGCCTCCCTCGCCCAGGCTGGAGTGCAGTGCCGGGATCTCGGCTCACTGCAAGCTCCGCCTTCCGGGTTCACGCCATTCTCCTGCCTCAGCCTCCCTAGTAGCTGGGACTACAGGCGCCTGTCACTGCGCCCAGCTAATTTTTTGTATTTTTAGTAGAGATGGGGTTTCACCGTGGTCTCGATCTCCTGACCTCGTGATCCGCCCGCCTTGGCCTCCCAAAGTGCTGGGATTACAGGCATGAGCCACCGCGCCCGGCGAGTTAATCACTTATGTCTTTAGATGAATGCACATTTACACGTAGACATATAGCTTAGAAGGTATATAAGCTCTGGAAAGCTTTGTAATTTTAAGTTGGTCTGGTGATAATTTCCAGGCCTTCTCCCTGTAACTGGTTGCAGAAATAAAAACTCGCTTCCTCTCCAGTTCATCTGCATCTCCTTACTGAACCAGGAGAAACAGCAGCCTGACGCTCAGTTTGGTCCAGGAACAGGTGGTGGAGGGCTCTCGAACTTTTTTCTTTTTTTTTTTTTTTTTTTGAGATGGAGTCTCGCTCTGTCGCCCAGGCTGGGGTGCAGTGGCGCGATCTCGGCTTACTGCAAGCTCCGCCTCCTGGGTTCACGCCATTCTCCTGCCTCAGCCTCATGAGTAGCTGGGACTACAGGCGCCCGCCACTACGCCCCGCTAACTTTTTTTGTATTTTTAGTAGAGATGGGGTTTCACCGTGTTAGCCAGGATGGTCTCGATCTCCTGACCTTGTGATCCGCCCGCCTCGGCCTCCCAAAGTGCTGGGATTACAGGCTGAGCCACAGCGCCCGGCTCTCTCGAACTTTTTTGGCAGATTTTTGCTGTTGATCAGCCCCGCTTCCCCAACTTTCCCCTGGGTCTCTCTCCCCCGGGAGTTTCTGGTTCCTCTGCGATTAATCACAGCCAAGTCTAGCTGGTTCTTCAGGACGGAGAATAAATAGGATAAACAGGAGCAGCCGAACCCTAACTTTGAGAGCTTTCTCCCCTCCTCTCCTAACTTCCCAGTCAGTGACTCGGAAGACTTTAACAGCAACAGCTGCCTCCTCTTGCCAGCTTGATCCCACCTGCTAAGTGAAGGAACAGCGTTTAAAGAGGTGGCAATCGGCAAGGGTGGATGCTTCCCTTTCCGCGCAGGCGCGTTCAGTCGCAGCACCGCGACTATCGTGATAGACAAGCGAGATCGACGCTGGCCCTTTAATAGCCCTTTCCCGGGGTCCTGCCCCGCGCGTGCGCACTGTGGTTCTGCGCTTGTCATCATGGCGACGCGGGGCCATGTGCAGGACCCTAACGACAGGCGCCTCCGGCCCATTTACGGTGAGTGTCTTGGACCAGCCCGCTCGCCAGCCCGACGCGCCGAGGGCTGCCGAGGCTGGGGCGAAAGCCCAGGAGGGGTGCTGAGGGCCGGCGCGCGGGCCGGGCAGGCGCAGGGGGGCGGGCCGCGCGGGCCACTAGGCCGCAGCCGCGGGCCTCGCGTAGGCGCCGGCCCAACCTTCCTCAGCCTTGGGGTGGTAGTGGCGCGGTCTGGGCAGCAGCTGGTCGGCAGAGCTGGCCTGCTTGGCAGGCCCCGTGGGACGCGTGGTTCTGCAGACACCTGCGCTACCCGCAGGCTGCATCGTTACCGCCGCTCCTAGGGAGACCGGAGATCTCCCCGAAGGTGGAAGCCGGCTCCGGCACGAGGGTGGGACGCCCTGCCTGAGGGAAGATTCCCTACCAGAGATTTTTTTTTATTTACGGGAATTGGGCCTAGAGGGTTGTCTGACTAGGTGGGCTTCGGTGCATAGGAGAAACTGAGGTCCGGAGTGGGGAAGGGGCTGACGCAAGGTCACCCAGATCGAGTCAGGAGCAGGCCCGAGATTCCAGGCTCCCAATCCAGAGCTGTTGGGTGGAGAAGCAGCTACTCTGGTCACACGTGGGAGGCGGGGGGAGGGGGTCTTGGGCCTAAAATAGCGGTGAAGAGATTGTGATAGCTCGTGTCAGAGGGGCATGCAGAGCTACTGGAGGGCTTCTCCTTTCTGCAGCTTCTCTGTGGTTTTCTCTGCAGCTTTCCTTCCCTGTGCTAAGCAGATCCCTCTCCACAACTCTTACCTCAACCCGCAGACTTGAAGACCTTGATGTCATCTCATCCATTTACCCTGGTAGTGAAAAATCACAGATTTTGAGTTTGGGAGAAACCCTTTTCCAATAACCGAAATGTGTAATTGGATTGGTCCTTTTTGCATTTCCTTTCCTCTTAGATGGTTTTATGGTCTTGGTCTATCTCACTTAATGGTGAGGAAGCTTCAAGGTCAGTGGTTTTTACAAAAGTAGACATCGTATTTATAGACCTCATGTGGATGTTACTAAATTGGAGGCTTCTCTCCAAGGTGGGAATCGTTTTGGGAGCGGGGGGCGGTGGTTAACTTTGTTTCTGGCCACAGTTAGTCCGGCTTTTATTTCATAATTTGTGTGATTTTTTTTTTTACTCTCACATCTCATTTGATTTTAGCAACAATCCTATAGCTAAGGTTTATAGATGACTCATTATGACAGTCACTGGCCTTGGCCTTTTATATGGGTTATCTAATATAATCTTCACCCATTCTCAAGAGGTGGCTACTGTTTTTTCCTGCCCCTGAACCCTTTAACAACAACAACAACAAAAAAAAAAACAGATGAGGAAACTGAGGCTTTATTGTTGTTGTGTAATTTGTCTAAGGCCACTCAGTTAGTATTTCTTGGAGCTAGAATTTGAACCCCTGTGGACTGTTTCAGGCTCACCTTTTTTTTCTTTTGAGATGAGTCTCACTCTGTCGTCCAGGTTGGAGTACAGTGGCACAATCTCAGTTCACTGCACCCTCTGCCTCCCAGGTTCAAGCGATTCTCCTGCCTCAGCCTCCTGAGTAGCTGAGATTACAGTTGCACGCCACCAGGCCCAGCGAACTTCCATGTTTTTAGTAGAGACAGGAGTTTACCATGTTAGCCAGGCTGGACTTGAACTCTTGACCTACTCAGCCTCCCAAAGTGCTGGGATTATAGGTGTGAGCCACCATGCCTGGCTCCAGGCTCACCTTTTTTTTTTTTTTTTTTTTTTTTTTGGAGACAGTCTCATTCTGTCATCCAGGCTAGAGTGCAGTTGCACAATCACAGTGCACTGCAACCAGCCTCCGCCTCCTGGGTTCAAGTGATTCTCCTGCCTCAGTCTCCTGAGTAGCTGGGATTACAGGTGCCCGCCACCATGCCGGCTAATTTTTGTATATATTGTAGAGAATGGGTTTCGTCATGTTGCCCAGTCTAGTCTAAAACTCCTGAGCTCAAGCAGTCCTGCCTCAGCCTCCCAGAGTGCTGGGATTACAGGTGTGAGCCACTGTGCCTGGCCCAGGCTCACCTTCTTAACCACTGTGCTAGAAACTACCTCACTTTGAGCTGAAGACACTGATTTGCCTGAGGTCACACAGATGGTAAGTGGCAGAGAAAGGACTCTGATTTCCTATTTCCCCGGGGCTGCATATTCTCATGCCCTTGCCCTCCAGTGTATATTTTCAGAGGGCAGAGATATATATACAAGGTGGGTGATGGAAGGTGAGAACTGAATCCAGGGTTCATAGTTTGTGACTCATTACAGCTTTGTGCAGCAGCTGCCTGCAGACTTTTTTTTTTTTAAACTAAAAACACTCAATACTTTCAAGAATAATTTGATTTTTAAAATTGTTCTTGAGGACCAAAGAGAATTTCTTTGGTCCCATAGTTATTTAGAATTAATAGTGTTTTGACTGTCTAATGGGAAACACCATGTCCATTTCACATCACTAAACATCAGGATATATTAACAAGTTATATTCTCAAAACTGAAGTCAGAATTATGTAGCTTTTGTAACATGTACATGGGAAGAGGATTAGAAGAGGCTTTCTTCAGTAATTCTAAGGCGATTAGTATAAACTGGCAGGACTAGGAAAAGAACGGTACAGACTGTCCGTGAATTCAGCACTTAAGCACATTTGACTTTTGAACTCCACACTTTTGTTGTTTAAATACATTACTACCCCCAAACAACCATGGTTCCTTGAATTCAGACATTCTGACAAATGAACAAACTCATCTATGGTGGTACTTGCCCACCAGCCAAAAATTCAACAACTATCAGCATTAATTAGTGTTTACTGGTGGGCTGACTGCCCTATTAGGTAGGTAAGATTATTGTGATCAAACTGAAGCCTAGAGATTAACTTGCTCAAGGTTGTAGCTACCAAGTTGTAGAGCTGGGATTTGAACATAGACATTCTCACTGAGAGCTCAGCTCTTCACCAAGTTCAGATTCAGTAGCATCACTGTCTTTGTACAACAGTATTTGTACTGCCAAGGTTTCAGGATTTATTTTACAATTGTGTTGGAAACCTTGCTTGGGGCCTCAGCTCTTGCTGGAATTCATTGAGGGTATATGTGGACAGGGCTATGTGGTGATAAATTGTGGTGGGTTGAAATTTTACTGGTGGTGTCTAGGGTTGGAATAGCTTTTCTGTGTGCATAGATTTGAAACATCTTCCCAGTGCATCTCACATTACTAATAAGTTTGGGTATTGCATTTTTCGTTTTTGAAAACCTCCACCCATGACCTTACTGGAACCCATACTTGATTATTTGGTCTCCTTTTGCTAAAATTATTCTCTTTTGCTACGTAGTTCCCAGCAGATTTTGTACTCTTGTGTGACTTGGTAAGCCCCAGTGCCTTCTTTCGTTATTTTTTTGAGACAGGATCTGGCTCTGTCACCCAGGCTGGAGTGTCTTGGCTCACTGTAACCTCCACTTCCCAGGCTCAAGTCATCCATCCACCTCAGCCTCCTGAGTACTGGGACTGCAGGCGGGCACCACCACGCCTGGCTAATTTTTGTATTTTTTGTAGAGACAGCATTTCACCATGTTGTTCAGGCTGGTCTCGAACTCCTGAGCTCAAGCAATCTGCCTGCCTTGGCCTCCCAAAGTGCTGGGGTTACAGGCGTGAGCCACTGCGCCCTGCCCATTATTATTATTATTTTTTTAAGAAGGAGTCTTGCTCTGTCACCCAGGCTGGAATGCAGTGGCGCGATCTTGGCTCACTGCAACCTCTGCCTCCTGGGTTCAAACAGTTCTCTGCCTCAGCCTCCTGAGTAGCTGGGTTACAGGCATGCACCACCATGCCCGGCTAATTTTTGTTTTTGTTTTTGTTTTGTTTTTTTTTTTGAGATGGAGTCTCACTCTGTCCTGCAGGCTGGGGTGCAGTGGCGTGATCTCCGCTCACTGCAAGCTCCACCTTCCGGGTTCACGCCATTCTCCTGCCTCAGCCTCCAGAGCAGCTGGGAATACAGGCGCCCGCCACCACGCCAGGTTAATTTTTTGTATTTTTAGTAGAGACAGGATTTCACCACATTGGCCAGGTTGGTCTTGAACTTCTGATCATGTGGTCCACTTGCCTCAGCCTCCCAAAGTGCTGGGATTACAGGCGTGAGCCACTGCACCTGGCCCCATTATTCTTAATTTTAAAACATTTTCAGTGGTTATGGATTAGGGAAGGGAAGGGATGGAGGGAGATAATAAATATTTGACTCTGTTTTGTTATGCAGCCTCCTCTACCCCATACTTTTATTTATTTATTTTTCTTTCTTTTTTTTCTTTTTTGTTTTTAATTTCACGCTCATATTTTTAGATAATTGGAAGTGGAATTGATGGTCAGGTATGGCACTTAATAAATTTGTATAGAATATGGGAATTGCTAGGTCAGCAAATTGCATAATAGAAATAGAGAAAGTTCAAAGTAGAAAAAATGTGTGCATAGTCTTTAGAATATACACACATACACAGGCATGAGATCCCTTGTTTTAATATGTCGTACTGACCTGCAGTCTTGGATTAGCCTGGATCAGGTGTAAGATATTTTCCAGTGTGTCTCCCGGGTGACAGTCACTTCTTTGCTGAGTTAGGACATTTCTCTTGGGTGCCTGGCTCAGGTAATTATTCCACTATAGTTCATAGTTTAGGAGTTCCTGACCCCAGGATGGTGTGTGATACTGGTCTGTGGCCTGTTAGGAAATGGGCCGCACAGTAGGAGGTGAGCAGCAGGGTGTTGTGGGGGAGAGCATTACTGCCTGAGCCCCGCCTCCTGTCAGATCAGCTCTTAGGAGTAGGAACACAAACCCTGTTGTGAACTATGCATGTGAGGAATCGAGGTTGGCGCTCCTTATGAGACTCTAACTAATGCCTGATATCTGAGGTGGAATAGTTTTATCCCGAAACCATCCCTCCCTGCCATCTGTGGAAAAATTGTCTTTCATGAAATCGGTCCCTAGTGCCAAAAAGGTTGGGGACCACTGCTCTAGTTCATAAATGAAAACTTGCAGGTCCTCAATCAAAAGTGGTATTTATTCTGACCTCCTCTTGGACAGTGTGGTAGCTTTGTGAGTCTGGTCCTATTTTGCCTCAGAAGTGACAGGGTACCTTGGTGAGTGAAGACTATCTTGCGTTTCTGTAGAAAAGTCACTTGGCACAACCTATTTTTTTCCATTCTGAAAATATGACCATTTAAAAAGCCCTGACTTACTAGAACTTCTCTCAATGAATCTAGAACTTCCATCACCATTGGATGGCTGAGACCACCTCTGCCATACCAAAACCTTGCTCATAACCAAAACAGTCCCTGTTGGTCTTTTGCCCTGGACCTGTGACATTCTGGACTATTTTTGTGTTCAGTTTTGGCCAAGTGTTAACAAGCATACAAAGCTGGGCACAGTGGTTTGGCTGGGTGAGGTGGCTCATGCTTGTAATCCCAGCACTTTGGGAGGCCGAGGTGGGTGGGTTGCTTGAGGCCAGGAGTTCGAGACTAGCCTGGCCAAAATGGCAAAACCCCATCTCTACTAAAAATACAAAAATTAGCCAGGTGTGGTGGCAGGCGCCTGTAACCCCAGCTACTCAGGAGGCTGAGGCAGAAGAATCACTTGAACCCGGGAGGCGGAGGCTGCAGTGAGCTGAGATTGTGCTACTGTACTCCAGCCTGGGGGACAGAGCGAGACTTCATCTCAAAAAAATAAAAAATAGGGCTGAGTGCAGTGGCTCACGCCTGTAATCCTAACACTTTGGGAAGCCGAGGCCGGCGGATCATGAGGTCAAGAGTTTGAGACGAGTCTCACCGACATAGTGAAACTCCGTCTCTACTAAAAATATACGAAAAATTAGCCGGGTGTGGTAGTGTGCATCTGTAATCCCAGCTATTCAGAAGGCTGAGGCAAGAGAATCGCGTGAACCCAGGAGGCGGAGGTTGCAGTGAGCCGAGATCGCGCTATTGCACTCCAGCCTGGGCTCCAGTGCGAGACTCCATTGCGGGGGGCGGGGGGGCAGCTAGTGTGATGGTGCATGCTTGAACCCAGGAACTTCAAGCTGCAGTGAGCTGAGATTGTGCCACTGTACTCCAGCCTGGGCAACAGAGCAAGATTCTATGTCAAAACAAATAAACAAAAAACTATTCTGCTGTCTTAGCTGAATAATTCAAACAAACAACAACAACAAAAAACCCTGACCTAGACTTTTAAACTGAAAATGAAGGTTTTAGTGCACAAAAATATTCTTAGATGAATACATAGATTAGAGGGTAGTTGTTGAAACATAGGGCAAGATGAAGAGATTAGTACATTTCTTTTTTTTTTTCTGTTTTTGGAGACAAGGTCTTGCTGTGTTGTCCAGGCTGCAGTGCAGTGATGTGAACATGGCTCACTGCAGCTTCGACCTCCTGAGCTCAAGTGATCCTCCCGCCTCAGCCTCTGGAGTAGCTGGCACTGCAGGCACATGCCACCATGCCTGGCTAGTTTTTTAAATTTTTATTTTATTTTATTTTTTTGAGATGGAGTTTCACTCTTGTCGCCCAGGCTGGAGTGCAATGGTGCGATCTCAGCTTGCTGCAACCTCCGCCTCCTGGGTGGATCACTTGAGTCCAGGAGTTTCAGACCAGCCTGGCCAACGTGGTGAAAACCCATCTCTACTAAAAATACAAAAAAATTAGCTGGGCATGGTGATGCACGCCTGTAATCCTAGCTACTCGGGAGGCTGAGGCAGGAGAATAGCTTGAACCCAGGAGGTGGAGGATGCAGTGAGCCGGGATTGCACCACTGTACTGCAGCCTGGGTGACAAAGCTAGACTCTGTCTCAAAAAAAAAAAAAAAAGTTGAAAAGATTTGGAAAAAATTTAATAGCTGGTAGCCATCACTAATCACTGGTTCTTTGAACTTCCTGTTGTGATCACTTTGTATTATCTTTTTTTTTTGATAGATTTTTTAAGATGCAGTCTCACTCTGTCACCTGGGCTGGAGTGCAATGGCGTGATCTCCACTCGCTGCAACCTCCGCCTCCTGGATTCAAGTGATTCTCCTGCCTCAGCCTCCCAAGTAGCTGGGATTACAAGCACCTGCCACCACACCTGGCTAATTTTTGTATTGTTAGTAGAGATGGGATTTCACCATGTTGGTCAGGCAGGTCTTGAACTCCTGACCTCAAGCAATCCACCTTCCTCGGCCTCCCAAACTGTTGGGATTACAGGCATGAGCCACCGCACCCGGCCTGTATTATCTTATATATATATCTTTCATTTTTCTAGCAGACTGCCCTTTTTTCCCCCATACAATTTGTTCATTTATGCATTCCTTCATTCAACATTTATTGAGGGCCTGATATGTGTTAGGCACAATATAGATGCAGGAAATGAGTACTAAACAGCACAGACATAGTTTCTGCTTTCAAGGAGCTTATCTCCTTGAAATGACAGTACACATCACCATTACAGTTATGTTAAGGGATTTGAAGGAATAGGACAGTTTGCCATGAGAGCATACAATAGGGGCATTTGGACTGTTGGGGTCAGGTCAAGAAAAGGTTTCCTGTGGAAATGATGTTTTACTTTGGACATGAAAAGAGAACCAGGGTTAGGCAAAGAGATGGGGAGAGGGTGGTGAAGACCCTGAGAAAAGGAGCTTGGTCCACTTGAGGATGTAAGCAAAGGCTTGTGCAGTTGGAATGAAGAAATGAGTGAGGAAGTGAGATGAGGCTGGGGTGGGCAGCGACTCAGCTTTGTAATCCATTTTAAGGATATTGAAATTTGTTTTAAAGACAGTGGAATCAGGCCGGGTGTGGTGGCTCACGCCTGTAATCCCAGCACTTTGGGAGGCCAAGGCAGGTGGATGACGAGGTCAGGAGATCGAGACTATCCTGGTAACACGGTGAAACCCCGTCTCCACTAAAAATACAAAAAATTCTCCGGGCGTGATGGCGGGCGCCTGTAGTCCCAGCTACTCCGGAGGCTGAGGTAGGAGAATGGCGTGAGCCCGGGAGGCGGAGCATGCAGCGAGCCAAGATCGAGCCACTGCACTCCAGCCTGGGCAACAGAGCAAGACTCCATCTCAAAAAAAAAAAAAAAAAAAAAAAGACAATGGAATCAATACCTGTGAAAAGAAAGAAAAGGACAGTGGATGACATTAAAAGGATTTAACCAGAGGAGTAGAGTGATAAGGTGTGCATGTAAAAAAGATAGCTCTGAATACTGTGTGGGAAATAAACCTTTAAACTAAAAGGGAAGCAAGGCCAGGTGTGGTGGCTCACGCCTGTAATCCCAGCACTTTGGGAGGCTGAGGCAGGAGGATCACGAGGTCAGGAGATCGAGACCATCCTGGCCAACATGGTGAAACCCTGTCTCTACTAAAATACAAAAAAATTAGCCAGGCCTGGTGGTACGAGCCTGTAGTCCCAGCTGCTCAGGAGGCTGAGGCAGGAGAATCACTTGAACCTGGGAGGCAGAGGTTGCAGTGAGCCGAGATCGTGCCACTGCACTCCAGCCTGGTGACAGAGCAAGACTCTGTCATAAATAAATAGGAGGCAAATGTAGAATGGGTCGGTCAGTTAGGAGGCATTATTCATTTTTAGGTTCATCCTTGTCCCTTGCAATCTTGCACATGGTAGGTATTTAACAAAGGCTTGCTGAGTGAAGGAATGTGTCTTCTGTAATTTGTATTCATGGTAAAAGCAAGGCTCCTATTCTCCAACTTTTAGAATTTTTAAGTAAAGGATATTGTGTTTAAAGATGGAGCTCTCTTCTATTTAGCGTTTTTATAAGTTGTGGCAATATCTTTAATAGTCTCTGAAATTCTTGTAGGAAGTGGAAACTGAGCATACTATTTCAGCTGCTAAGGAGACCATTCATGGCAGCTGCAAGAACATGCAGATGAAAAACTTTCCTTTTTATTTGCAAAATTGATACTTTTCCTACTGTCAGTATCCATCCCTCAGTAAGATTGGATGAACAAATCCCAGGACCTCTTCTCCAGGGCATGTGGACAGCAGGCCTGCATGTGTCCAGGCCTGCTGCTGCCTGCATCTCCAAGGACTAGTAGCTTCTTTGGGAAGTGTTACCTCAGGAGTGCAGCTTGTGCGTTCATTCAACAAATTTTGATAGTGTCTTGCCAATGATTTATCCCAGTTCTTCCCAAATTTCTATCGTTCTTTTACCTAATCTCATTATTTTAGCTGCATTATAGTATTATCTGTGCTATCAGTTAATATTTTTCTCCAAGGTGACTTTTAAAATTAAATTTATTTTATAATTATATTATTGCTATGAGTGGAAAACTTGTATCACTTGCTGTAGGAAAATAAAACTGTAAAAGTAAAGTACAATGAAAACTAAACAATGTTATTAACCAGATTCTGATACTTGTGAAACTTCAGGACCTATTCCTTCCTTCTGGAAAAAAAAAAAGGCCGAGTGCGACAGCTCATGCCTATAATCCCAGCACTTTGGGAGACCGAGGCAGACGGATCACGAGGTCAAGAGATTGAGACCATCCTGGCCAACATGGTGAAACCCCGTCTCTACTAAAAGTACAAAAAAAATTAGCTGGGTGTGGTGGTGCGCACCTGTAGTCCCAGCTACTCAGGAGGCTGAGGCAGGAGAATTGCTTTAATCTAGGAGGTGGAGGTTGCAGTGAATCGAGATCATGCCACTGCACTCCAGCCTGGCGACAGAGTGAGACTCTGTCTCCAAAAAAAAAAAAAGATACTAGCAATTTTTAGAGAAATAGTAGGCTAGCACCAAACTGACACTTTCTCCTTAATGTAAAGGAAGTATTAGAAAAGAGATTAGGGCCAGGCGTGGTGGCTCACGCCTGTAATCTTAGCACAATCCCAGTTGAACCTTGGAGGCGGAGGTTGCAGTGAGCTGGGATCGCGCAACTGCACTCTAGCCTGGGCAACAGAGCGAGTCTCAAAAAAAAGAAAGAAAGAGATTGACTTTTTCACTGTGAGTATTATCTAGGGCTGTCTGCAAGGACTAAAAACATTTCATTTGGAATGGCACTCACCCGTGCTTTGGAAAATACTGCTTTAACCAATACATCTTATTGTTTCCATTGCCTGATCTGTGGATGGCTGATTTTGGCTGACTCCTGTTATTAAGGGAACAGCACCATTCCTCATGGCCAAACTACAATTCCCCTTGAGTAGCTTTTTAAAAAGACTTACTAAGAAGACAGATTTAGGATATCGTTTTTATTGGCTTGTTTTCTCCAAGGACTACTTAACTTATATTACAGATTTAGTAATGTAAAATGAAAATAAACTTTCCCAAGAGACTTAGCAGCTAATTAATCACACTCTCCTAGGTCCAGGAAATGGGAGCCTGATACCTGGCTGAATGTGGTAAAGTGTTTTAAACTCTTTCAGGTGAAGAAACAATCTCTTTGATACCAGCGCAAGTAAAGACGGTTACTGTAAATCCTTGTGGGAGCCAAGGCAAGAGTGTAGTGCCCCAGGACCTGATGGAAATGAGAAAGTTGTCAGGACCTGAAGCTTCTTTTTCAGTTGCTCATCTCTGCTTTTCTCTGTGTCTATTCATTTCTCTGCTTGGTTTTTTTTTTTTTTTTTTTTTTGAGATGGAGTCTTGCTCTGTTGCCAGGCTGGAGTGCAGTGGCACAATCTCAGCTCATTGCAACCTCCGCCTCCCGGGTTCAAGTGATTCTTAGGCCTCAGCCTCCCAAGTAGCTGGGATTACAGGCGTGCGCCACCAAGCCCAGCTAATTTTTGTACTTTTTTTGGTAGAGACGGGGTTTCACCGTGTTGGCCAGGCTGGTCTTGAACTCCTGACCTCAAGGGATCTGTCTGCCTCTGCCTCCCAAAGTGCTGGAATTACAGGCATGAGCCGCCGGGTCTGCTCGGTTCTTCATAATGTTTTTTCCTGCTTACTCATCAACTTACCCAGAACCCAACATGTTGACTTTTGTAGCCACACCAAGCTGTGGCTGGAGAAGGGAGGGTTCATTAGCCTCACCCGTAAGCTTAATTTCTCTAGATTTTCCAATAAAGGTAATTGACATTTTTCATTTTTATATAAATGCTGTGTGAATAAAGAGTCAAGAGACAACTCTTTTTTTTTTTTTTTTTTTGAGACGGAGTCTCGCTCTGTCTCCCAGGCTGGAGTGCAGTGGCGCAATCTTGGCTTACTGAAACCTCCGCCTCCAGGGTTCACGCCATTCTCCTACCTCAGCCTCCCGAGTAGCTGGGACTACAGGCGCCCGCCACCACGCCCGGCTAATTTTTTGTATTTTTAGTAGAGATGGGCTTTCACCGTGTTAGCCAGGATGGTCTCGATCTCCTGACCTCATGATCCACCCGCCTCAGCTTCCCAAAGTGCTGGGATTACAGCCGTGAGCCACCACGCCTGGCCGAGACAACTCTTTTTCTTTGCTGCACATCAATCAACTTGCATCCCCGAAAGTGCCTTCAAAATAGAAATTCTGGAGCTGCCACTGGTAAACTCAGACTTAAAATTTTTAAGATTTTCCACCTGAGGTTCCTTGTAACTTACTGACTCTGGCTTTCAGTTTTATAGTTAGAGAGTACCAGGAAGAAACCTGATTTACCCAGCTTGGATCAAATGTCCAACCTGGGGTGGGCTGCAGTTACATGGTCTAGACATGGTCATCTAGTCCTACCCCTTCAGCAGGGGCACTGGAAACCATTTCCAGACAAGAGGGCATGGGCAAGTAGGTACATTATATCAGAACCTCGTCAACTACAGAGGGGAAGGGAAAAATACCCTTATAGTCCTAACCTCTGGTCTGATCCATTTATGGGCAGACCTTCAGAGATGGGTCTCATCAAAGATGTTTACCCTTTGAGAAGGCTTCAAGATAGGTTCTATGAACCTGGAACCTTGCAGGACCACTGAGTCAGCAATGACTTAGAACTGACTCAGAATGAGATCAGCATCAAGTTATGAGGAAGAGAGGGTGTCGTTTATTGAGCTGGTTTATCTTTGTCAGATAGTTTATAAGGACAAATGATGGCCTGTCAGTTCAGCTAAGGATTTAAGAAAACTGGTATTAGATGTTTAGGTATTTAGGCCAAGATTATGTGCTTTTAGATATCTGTGATTCTCCAATGCCTCTCCAGAATATTAGGTCTTTGGCCTTCCTCTCTAAATTGTGATTTCCTACAGAGTAAGGCTTCTTATCTTTTTACCTAGCATTATTGGTGCTCATCAATATTAAGTGCATTAAGTGCATTGAACTCATGCATTCATGAGACTAAGTTTTAGTTAAGTGTTAATTGCAGAAAAATTTAGTATAGTAAAATGAAAGTTTATTTCTGTTCTGTGGGACACTCTGAGCCACCAGGGTCATAGATTATTTTAAGTTGTCTGTGCCTTTGCTGATAGGGAACTTTGATGAGCAAAGAGGAACCTGGTAGTGGTAGAGGATTGTGAACTGGCCTGTGTTCAGTCATCATTGTATATTTAGAATTGACAGCTACTGTACTGTTTTCCCATTTATAACACTTCTCATTTTTCTTCTCTAGAAATGAATCTTTGCTTTTGTTAGACTTTTTAAAAGAATTAATAGACTGTTTTTAGAGCATAAAACTGCTTTATGGTTTACAGAAAAATGAGTAGAAAGTACAGAGTTCCCAAATACTCCCTCTCCCCATCCCCATGGTTTCCCTTATTATTAACAACTTGGATTCATATACGTTTGTTACCATTGCTGAGCCAACATGATACATAATTGTTAATTAAAATCCGTAAATAGTTTAGGCTTCATTCTTTGTGTTGTGTATTCTCTGGGTTTGACAAATGTATGAAGACCTATATCCACCATTACAGTATTATATAGAATGTTTCAGTGCCCTAAAAATCCCCTGTGCTCCACCTATCCATCCCAACCTCCATCCTCTGTCAACCACTGATGATTTTACTATCTGTATAGTTTTTCACCTTTTCCAGAATGCCATGTAGGAGTTATATAGTATATAGCCTTTTCAGATTGGGTTTTTTTCCCTTAGCAATATGAATATAAGGCTTCCTCCATGTCTTTTTTTTTCTTTCTCTCTGTCTTTTGTGCTTGATAGTTCATTTCTTGTTTTTTTTTTTTTGTTTGTTTGTTTTTGTTTTTTTTTTGAGACAAGGTCTTGCTCTGCCACCCAGGCTGGAGTGCAGTAGTGCAATCATAGCTCACTGCAGCCTCTACCTCCCAAGCTCAAGCAGACCTCCCAAGTAGCTGGGACTATAGGCATGCGCCACCGTACCTGACAAATTTTTTTAATTCTTTTTTTTTTTAGACGGAGTCTCACTCTGTCACTCAGGCTGGAGTGCAGTGGCGCGATCTCAGCTCACTGCAAGCCCCACCTCCTGGGTTCACGCCATTCTCCTGCCTCAGCCTCACGAGTAGCTGGGACTACAGGCACCCGCCACCATGCCCGGCTAATTTTTTGTATTTTTAGTAGAGATGGGGTTTCACCGTGTTAGCCAGGATGGTCTCAATCTCCTGACCTCGTGATCCGCCCGCCTCGGCCTCCCAAAGTGCTGGGATTACAGGTGTGAACCACCGCGCCTGGCCAAATTTTTAAATTTTTTCTAGAGATGGTGTCTTGCTGTGTTGCCTGGGCTGGTCTTGTACTTCTGGCCTCAAGTTATCCTCCCGCTTCAGCCTTCCTAAGTGCTGGGATTGCAGGCATGAGCCACCACACTCAGCCTAACACAATTTTATGGTGGGTCTCCATATTCCTTAAAACTTGAAATGTATCAGCTGGGCATGGTGGCACACTCCTTTCACACATGTACTCCCTTCACTTTGGGAGGCTGAGGCGGGCAGATCACTTGAGGTCAGGAGTTCGAGACTAGCCTGGCCAACATAGTGAAACCTCATCTCTAGTAAAAATACCAAATTTAGCTGGGCATGGTGGTGCACACCTGTAATCCCAGCTACTCGGGAGGCTGAGGCAGGAGAATTGCTTGAACTCAGGAGGCAGAGGTTGCAGTGAGTCAAGATTGTGCCATTGCACTCCAACTTGGGCGACTGAGCAAGACCCTGTCTCACACACACACAAAAAAGTACTATTTTCCCTACATCCTTGCCTACTCCTGCTATTATTGAAATTCATTCCCTACCTCCCAATCTTATGGGTAAAACTTTCTCTTATTTTTTTCTTCAGCAAATTAGACTTAACTCTGTGGCAAAGTCAGTACTCATTAAATATATTTCATTGAAGGAACATAGTCCACTTGGTAGATTTGAGGCCTGAATACTAGAAAGGTTTCTTTTTTGGTTTTTATTTTAATTTTTAAAAGATTTTAAGATTTTGGTGACTAAACTCATTACTTATCCATGGATAAAAATATTAATGTCATCTCATCTAAATATGTATAGTCTTGAATCTTCACTAAGGACTACATAGTGTGATTATATTACTTGTAGATGAGAGATGACTATAGGGACGTAAGTTTGTATTCTTTTTTTTTTTTTTTTTTTTTTGAGACAGAGTCTCCCTCTGTCGCCTAGGCTGGAGTGCAGTGGCGCCATCTTGGCTCACTGTAAGCTCCGCCTCCTGGGTTCACGCCATTCTCCTGTCTCAGCCTCCCCAGTAGCTGGGACTGCAGGAGCCCACCACCACGCCTGGCTAATTTTTTGTATTTTTTAGTAGAGACAGGTTTTCCACCATGTTAGCCAGGATGGTCTCGATCTCCTGACTTCGTGATCCACCCACCTCAGCCTCCCAAAGTGCTGGGATAAGTTTGTATTCTTGACCGTCCTAGCCATTTATAGTTAAAATTAGATCCATAATGTTTTTATTTGTTGAAAAAAATTTTTAAATTAAAAAAAAAAGTTTTTTTGAATCAGGGTCTCACTCAGTTGCCCAAACTGGAGTGCAGTGGCACGACCGTGGCTCACACTGTAGCCTCAACTTCCCAGGCTCAAATGATCACCCCACCTCAGCCTCCTGAGTAGCTGGGATTACAGGTGCATGGCAACATGCCTGGCTAATTTTTATATTTCTTCTAGAGACAGGGTCTCACTAAGTTGTCAGAGCTGGTCTCGAATTCCTGGGCTCAAGTGATTCACCCACCTTGGCCTCCCAAAGTACTGGGATTACAGGTGTGAGCCACTGGACTGTGCCCATGATGTTTTTATTATTTTGTTTTATTATTATTATTTTGTGTTATTACTTTTTTCTGAGGCAGGGTGTCACTGTTTTGCCCAGGCTGGAGTGCAGTGGCATGATCTCAGGTCACTGCAACCTCTGCCTCCCAGGTTCAAGCGATTCTCGTGCCTCAGCCTCCCGAGTACCTGGGGCTACAGGTGTGCATCACCACTGCCTGGCTAATTTTTGTAGTTTTAGTAGAGTTGGGGTTTATCCATGTTGCCCAGGCTGGTCTCGAACTCCTGGCCTCAAGTGATCCATCTGCCTCGGGCTCCCAGAGTGCTGGGATTACAGGTGTAAGCCACCACGCCCGGCCTCCATGATGTTTTATATAGCAAATTAAGATATTTTCCAAAATATCTCATACCAGTTGGTGCATTTTTTATATTTGTTATTGAAGGAATATAATAACTGTCACATAATTTGTTTTTTCATAGATTATCTTGACAATGGTAATAATAAAATGGCAATTCAGCAAGCAGATAAACTGTTGAAGAAACATAAGGATCTTCATTGTGCTAAGGTAACTTCATTTGCCCTTCAGTTACTTACCTGTGGCGGGTTATATTTGTAATTCCTTACCTTAAAGAGAAAGGAGGGCCGGGCATGGTGGCTCAAGCCTGTAATCCCAGTACTTTGGGAGGCCGAGGCAAGCGGATCACGATGTCAGGAGTTTGAGACCAGCCTGACCAACATGGTGAAACCCTGTCTCTACTAAAAATACAAAAATTAGCCTGGCATGGTGGCGTGCGCCTGTAATCCCAGCTACTCAGTAGGCTGAGGCAGCAGAATCACTTGAACCCAGGAGGTGGAGGTTGCAGTGAGCGGAGATCGCACCATTGCACTCTAGCCCAGGTGACAGAGTGAGACTCCGTCTCAAAAAAAAAAAAAGGGGGGGGAGAAAGGATGTTAAATCTCTTTAGTGACTATTAGTGTCTTTTGTTTTTGAGATGGAGTTTCACTCTTGTTGCCCAGGCTGGAGTGCAGTGGCTTGATCTCAGGTACTGCAACCTCTGCCTCCCAGATTCAAGTGATTCTCCTGCTTTAGCCTCCTGCGTAGTTGAGATTACAGGCATGCGCCACCACACCCAGCTAATTTTGTATATTTTTTAGTAGAGATGGGGTTTCCCCATGTTGGTCGGGCTGGTCTCAAACTCCCGACCTCAGGTGATCCTCCTGCCTCAGCCTCCCAGAGTGCTGGGGTTACAGGCATGAGCTACTGCGCCCAACTGACTATTTGTGTTTTTTTCTCGGTACTTTATAGGTCAGTTATTTCCATAGTCACTTACATGCCACAAGTGGTATTTCTTTTTTCGTTTTTTTTTTCTTTTTTGAGATGGAGTCTTGCTGTGTTGCCCAGGCTAGAGTGCAGTGGCACGATATTGGCTCACTGCAACCTCTGCCTCCTGGGTTCAAGCAATTCTCCTGCCTCAGCCTCCTGAGTAGCTGGGACTACAGGCGCGTCCTACCACGCCCGGCTAATTTTTTTGTATTTTTAGTAGAGACGGGGTTTCACCGTGTTAGCCAGGATGGTCTCAATCTCCTGACCTCCTGATCCGCCTGCCTTGGCCTCCCAAAGTGCTGGGATTATAGGCGTGAGCCACTGTGCCTGGCTGTGATATTTCAGTAAAAGCTAGCTGTTTATTTCTTTGCATATTACTTACCTAATTTATTTTCACAGAATCCTTTTAAGCAATATTGTGCACTTCTTTTTTTGAGACAAGGTCTCTATCACCCAGCCTGGAGTGCAATAGCACAATCATGACTCACTACAGCCTTGGCCTTCTAGGCTCAAATGATCCTCTCATCTCAGCCTCCTGCATAGCTGGGACTACAGGGTGTACCACCATGCCTGGCTTTTTTTTTTTTTGGAGATAAGGTCTCTCTCACCCTGTTGCCTAGGCTGGACTGCAGTTGCCTAGGCATGATCACAGCTCACTGCAGCTTTGACCCCCCGGACTCAAGCGATCCTCCTACCTCAGCCTCTCGAGTAGCTGGGACCACAGATGTGCACCACCACACCTGGCTAATATTTAAACTTTTTGTAAAAATGGGATCTCACCACGTTGCCTACCTAGGCTAGTCTTGAATTTGTGGGCTCAAGCAATCCTCCCGCCTCGGCCTTCCAAAGTGCTGGGGTTACATTCGTGAGCCATTGCACCTGGCCTATTTTTTTCCTTCAAATTTTTTCTAGAGATGAGGTCTCACTGTGTTGCCTAGGCTGGTCTCAAAGTTCTGGGCTCAAGTGATCCTCCTGCCTTAGTCTCCCAAAGTGTTATACGCATGAGTGCACCATGCCAGTCCTATTGTTCACTTTTTTTTTTTTTTTCGAGACAGGATCTCCTTCTGTCACCCACGCTGGAGTGCTGTGACGTGATCAACCTCCCGGGCTCGAGGAGTCCTCCCATCTCAACCTGTCAAGTAGCTGGGTGCACACCACCATACCCAGCTAATTTTTTATTATTTTTTGTAGAGATGGAGTCTCACCACGTTGCCCAGGCTGGTCTTGAACTCCTGGGCTCAAGTGATGTGCCTGTCTTGGCCTCCCAAAGTGCCGGGATTACAGATGTGAGCCGCCGCACCCAGCCTGAAACTAGTATATCAGCAACCTAGGCATAACTTAATACTTGTTCTTTCAGATCGGCTTTCTTTGGTTCATATTTCCTTTTCTGTCTTTTTAAAAACTGATTTTTCTTTTGTTGCTATCAGGTTTTAAAGGCAATTGGTTTACAGAGAACTGGAAAGCAAGAGGAAGCCTTTACTCTTGCACAGGAGGTGGCAGCCCTTGAACCCACAGATGACAACTCACTGCAGGCACTGACTATCCTTTACCGGGAGATGCACCGACGTATGTTTCTTTCTTTTCATTGTTTTTAAACTTGAGCTGAAAATTTTGGATATTTCTGACTGTTTGCCCTTGTCTGATTTCTCACTCATGATTTGAATGGATACAGTAGGTAGAATAACGCATTAGCCAGGGTTTGCGAGAACTGTAGATAGAAAGGATAGTTTACATGCATTAGGATCCTTGAATTGGAATGAGAATTAAAGTGACTTCATTTGTGATATTTTGATCTGCTAAATGGAGGCTTCACCCTTATTTTCACTTTTTAATATGGAAAATTTCAAGCAGACAAAAATAGAATAGAATAATAAACCCCATTGTTCTCATTATCCACCTTCAGCAATTAACACATGGCCCATTTTATTTTGTTTTTACCCTTTCCCCTGGCAGATTACTTCAGAGCATATCCTAAGTAGTCCATTGTTTCTTCTGAAATAAAGGTTTTTATTGTTAATTTCTTAAATATTTTATTGTGAAATCATACATATTTTTCATAGTACATATTATACAATAATCTTGTTTATGTAACATATAAGTACATTTGATGTGTAATAATGAAAACTCATGAACCTACCACCTAATTTAAGAAATGGAGCGTTGCCAGGCGTAGTGGCTAAAACTTGTAATCCCAGCACTTTGGATGGCCGAGGCTGGCAGATCATTTGAGGTCAGGAGTTAGAGACAGCCCGGCCAACATAGGGAAACCTTGTCTCTACTAAAAATACAAAAATTAACTGGGTGTGGTGGTGCACGCCTGTAATCCCAGCTACTTGGGAAGCTGAGGCAGGAGAATCGAAACTTCCACCTTCTGAGTTCATGCATCCTCTCCTGCCTCGGCTTCCCAGGTAGCTGGGATTACAGGCATGCACCACCATCCCCAGCTAATTTTTGTATTTTTAGTAGAGACGGGTTTCACCATGTTGGCCGGGCTGGTCTCAAACTCCTTACCTCAAGTGATCCACTTGCCTTGGCCTCCCAAAGAGCTGGGATTACAGCCGTGAGCCAAGTGCACCTGGCCTCCTCAATCAATCTTAATTCTCCTTTTACCTACCAAGAGTTACTCGCTATCCTGAATATTTTTTATTCTCTTGCTTCCCTTTAAATGTTTATTACATTTATTTCTCTTAGTAATACATTATTAGTTTTGCTTAATTTTAAACTTTTGTTAGTGCATCTGTACTATGTATATTCTATGACTTGCATTTTTCATCTAATAGCCAAGTGGCTATAGTTAATCCATTTTCACTACCACAAAATATTTCACTGGGTTACATTACAATATCTAGGAGTAGAATTTTCAAGTCATGGGGTAAGTGTATGTTTAGCTTAAAGCAAGATAATGTCAACTTCTTTTATAAATAGAATAGCAGTTTTTGAGTTCTGATTGCTTACATGCTTGTCAACACTTGGTATTCTTTCTCTCTTCATTCATTCAAATAGCTCAGATTGTAACATTTGGTATTTGTAACCTTAATCATTTTTGCCAATTTCTTTTGAGACAGGATTTTGCTGTGTTGTCCAGGCTAGTTTGGACTCTTAGGCTCAAGCAATCCGCCTGCCTCAGCCTCCCAAAGTGCTGGGATTATAGGCACGAGGCACTGTGCTCAGCTTCAATTTTGTTTTTAATTTTTACAAAAGATAAAACCTAAGAGTTGAGGTATTATATCTGAGTATTTACAGATTGTGTTGATTTAGGGATATGGATTCTTCTCCAGTGTTTTAAAAAAAATCATTTACTCCACAAATATTGGTGGCATGTTTCTCTATGACTGGTATTCTATCAGAGTCAAAGATAAAAAATGCACTTTCAGCCGGGCGCAGTGGCTCACGCCTGTAATCCCAGCACTTTGGGAGGCTGAGGTGGGTGGATTACCTGAGGTCGGGAGTTCGAGACTAGCCTGACCAACATGGAGAAACCCCATCTCTACTAAAAATGCAAAATTAGCCGGGTGTGGTGATGCATGCCTGTAATCCCAGTTACTTGGGAGGCTGAGGCAGGAGAATCACTCGAACCCAGGAGGCAGAGGTTTCAGTGAGCCGAGATCGCACCATTGCAATCCAGCCTGGGTAACGAGCAAAACTCTGTCTCCAAAAAAAAAAAAAAAGCACTTTCTGTTGTCATGGCACTCATTGTCTATAAGGGGAAATAGATCACTAGACAGTATACTACATTATGTGTTAATAAATGCTATAGTACAGCCTGGGCAACATGGCGAAACACTGTCTATATAAAAAATAAGCCAGTTGTGGTGGTATGTGCCTGCAGAACAGCTACTTGGGAGGCTGAGGTCGGAGAATTACCTGAGCTTGAAAGGTCGAGGCTGCAGTGAGCCGTGATTGTGCCATTGCACTCCAGCCTGGGCGACAGAGTGAGAACCTATCTCCAAAAAAAAAAAAAAAAAAAAAAAAAACTACAATATACTTACTTATATAAGATTCCAAGATGGCAGAGGGAGGCAGTGGTCAAATTGCAGTGGAGAAGCAGAGATGGTGTTCAGAGAAAGTCTTACAGTTCAGCTTACATTTGAATTGGGTCTTGGCTGATGTTCACTAAGATAAAAGAGAGAAAAGGAGAATTCAGGCAGAGCGAAGAGTTTAGAGGCATAGAGTTATGTATGATACATCCCAGAGAATCTGGTGGAACTACAAATAGTTTGTGGCTACATGATAAAGTGCTGAGGGAAAGAGGAGACAGAGGCCAGATCCTATAAGGTCTTATATGTTGTAAATGCTATGAGAAGGCTTGACCTATTCCATGCTTCATTTAAACACCACCTAACCAAGAGATGAATGATGATTGGATGAGGCAAAGCAGATACTTCTTCTATAATGATAGGAGACATCTATTTCTGCCAAATAGGAAGAACATTAAATGCCATTAGAATGTTCTTGAAGTATAACTTAAATCTTATTTCTCTTTATCTTAGCGGAGTTAGTTACAAAACTTTATGAGGCAGCTGTGAAGAAAGTTCCCAATAGTGAGGAGTATCACTCTCACCTCTTCATGGCCTATGCCAGAGTGGGTGAATACAAGAAAATGCAACAGGTAATTTGATCCCCAAACCTACTGGGCTATGGGATTTACTATTAGAGGCAAAAGTCTCTTTCTTGTGATTTAACTGCACTGGGTATGTGTGTGTGTAGAATTGAATTTATGGATTTTTCTGTGTGGAGGTCAGTCAGTTGTTTTCCTTATGTGTTTAAAGTTGAACTATTATTCAAGATCTTTAAATGTTTTATTTGGAAATAAGTTGATTGTTCTTTTGTGGCCTGATGTTATGTTTTGTTTGGTTTTGGTAATTCAGCTTCAGATTGTCCTACTGCATCAGATTGCTGTTAAATTTTCAGAAAATGAGCAGATATACCAGAGCAAAAAATGAACAACTATGGAAAGAGTAACTTTAAAGTTTACATCTAATTTGTAAATTTAAACTGTTGATAGCCTGCTAAGATTTTTAAGTCCACCAGGGGGAAAATCCTTGTTGCCTGGGATGTTTCTTTTTAAATTTATTTTTTGTTTTTTGTTTTTTGGTTTGAGGCAGCTTATTTGGCAGCTACCATATTGTAGATATTCTTTACATACATCTGAAGGAGCCTCATTTGAACACATTTGAATTAGGTTGCGGGTAAAGCTAACATCTCAGAGAAATATAATCAGCATTATTAATTCCATAAATGGCTCTGATGTTAAGCTAGTATTTTTTTTTTTTTTTTTTTTTGGAGATGGAGTTTTGCTGTTGTTGCCCAGGCTGGAGTGCAATGGTGCGATCTTGGCTCACTGCAACCTCTGCCTCCTGGGTTCAAGCTATTCTGCCTCAGCCTCCTGAGTAGTTGGGATTACATGCTTGCGCCACCACTCCTGGCTAATTTTGTATTTTTAATAGAGACAGGGTTTCTCCATGTTGGTCAGGCTGGTCTCAAACTCCCGACCTCAGGTGATCTGCCCGCCTCGGCCTCTCAAAGTGGTGGGATTACAGGCATGAGCCACCACACCCAGCCCAAGCTAGTACTTTTTTAGAAATGCTTTCTTTGTGGGTATAATATCTTCTGAAGGCAAAATTTTTTGGATTTTTATCTTATTCTTTACATTAAATATCAAGTTATAACAATAGATAATTTGGGCAGGGTGGCAGATACTATATTAATATAAACTCTTTCTTAAAATCAGTCTCTATATTTTAAGTTTATGCAAGTTTTAACATAGGAGAAGTTTTTTTCTTCTTTTTTCTTTTTTGTGATGGAGTCTTGCTCTGTTGCCCAGGCTGGAGTGCAGTGGCACGATCTCGGCTCACTGCAACCTGGCCTCCCAGGTTGAAGCGATTCTCCTGCCTCAGCCTCCCGAGTAGCTGGGATTACAGGTACACACCACCATACCTGGCTAATTTTTGTGTTTTTAGTAGAGGCGAGGTTTTACCATGTTGGCCAGGCTGGTCTCAAATTCCTCACCTCAAGTGATCCACCCACCTTGGGCTCCCAAAATGCTGGGATTACAGATGTGAGCCAGTGCGCCCAGCTGGAGAAATTTTTTGAGGGGTCCCAATGTAATTATTTAATAACATTTTGTTAATTTATTTACTGAAAGGTATTTAGACATTATAATTTTTAAAAATGTAAAATGGTTATGGGTGTGTGTGTGTGTGTGTGTGTGTGTGTGTATATATATATATATATATATATTTTTTTTTTTTTTTTTTTTTTTTTTTTTTTTTTTTTTGAGACAGTCTCACTCTGTCACCCAGGGTGGAATCCAGTGGTATGATCTCGTCTCACTGCAACCTCCACCTCCCGGGTTCAAGCGATTCTTCTGCCTCAGCCTCTCAAGTACTGGGACTACAGGCACATGTCACCACACCCGGCTAATTTTTGTATTTTTAGTAGAGACGGGGTTTCACCATGTTGGCCAGGCTGGTCTCGAACTCCTGACCTCATGATCCGCTCGCCTCTGCCTCCCAAAATGCTGGGATTACAGGCGTGAGCCACTGTGCCCAGCCATAAAATGGGTATATTTTTTAAAATTGGCAATGCTAACATATATACATATAAATCCTTAATATCATTTTTATTTGTAAGATTATGTTTTAAGCAAAGTATATTAAATATTCATTCATAAGGATAGAGTAAAAGAAGTTATAGTTCATCCCTATGGTACATAAAATACATTCCCACATCTCTCCAAATAATACTGGGTGTCTTTATATGGTTGACATATAAAGATGTTCCTAGTATATGTTAATTGAGACAAGCAGGTTGTAAAATGACCTTCTCTTCCCATTCTTCTCATGTTGTCCTCAAAAAAGATATACTTCTTTTCTTTCTTTTTTCTTTTTCTTTTTTTGAGATAGACAGACTCTCTCTGTCACCCAGGCTGGAGTGCTGTGGCGTGATCTCAGCTTACTGCAAACTCTGCCTCCCAGGTTCAAGAGATTCTCCTGCCTCTGCCTCCCGAGTAGCTGGGATTGCAGGTGCCTGCCACCACACTTGGCTAATTTTTTTGTGTGTGTGATATAGTCTTGCTCTGTCGCCCAGGCTGGAGTGCAGTGGTGTGATCTTGGCTCACTGCAACCTCCGCCTCCTGGGTTCAAGCGATTCTCCTGCCTCAGCCTCCTGAATAGCTGGGATTACAGGTGCACACCACCATGCCTAGCTAATTTTTATATTTTTAGTAGAGATGGGGTTTCACCATGTTGGTCAGGCTGGTCTCGAACTCCTCACCTCTTGACCCACCTGCCTCAGCCTCCCAAAGTGCTGGGATTACAGGCGTGAGCCACTGCACCCACCTAATTTTTGTATTTTTAATAGAGATGGGGTTTCACCATGTTGGCCGGGCTGGTCTCGAACTCCTGACCTCGAGTGATCTACCTGCCTCAGCCTCCCAAAATATTGGGATTACAGGCGTGAGCCACTGCACCTGGCTAATTTTTATTTATTTATTTATTTGATATGGAGTCTCGCTCTGTCTCCAGGCTGGAGTGCAGTGGTGTGATCTTGGCTCACTGCAACCTCCACCTCCCAGGTTCAAGAGGAGATCCTCCTGTCTCAGCCTCCCGAGTAGCTGGGACTACAGGCACGCGCCACTAAGCCCAGCTAATTTTTTGTATTTATAGTAGAGATGGGGTTTCACCATGCTGGCCAGGCTGGTCTCGATCTCTTGACCTCATGGTCCGCCCACCTTGGCCTCCCAAAGTGCTGGGATTACAGGCGTGAGCCACTGTGCCCCGCCCACGCCTGGCTAATTTTTATACTGTCATTATTGCTGCTTAAGGAAGTTACAATTTCTTAGCTTAAGTATGTTTATTTTGAGTGTGGAATGTCAGTCTGAGGTAATAGGTATTTCACACATTTAATGTCATGTTTCATATGGATGAAGGTTTTTGTTTGATTTGTTCATTGTTGATTTTCCATTGCCTAGAATAGCATCTGCACAATAATTTGTTAAGCAAATAAATGATTTGTATAAACTCGTGGAGGTAGGAGGGAGGGAAACTTAAGAGCTTCTGCTGCCCCAAATAACATCTCTGGCTGGTGATTTTGAAACCACCATAAATGAAGAGTAGCTAGTTATTCATATGGTGATAAGGCTTTTCTTTTCCTGTAAATGACATTCTCATTCTGAGTCACCAACTTAGATCCATGTTTTTAAACTTGTCTGTCATCAAAAATTTTGTTTCAGCAGATTATCAGAGCCTGCAAGATCATAGGGTATGGACATGAAATTTTTGCCTTGCATTTTATATTAATTCATATTCTAATGTTATATATTTTTATCTCTGTATGTCATTGTAAAAATGTTTTCCCATATTCTCAAGTAAAATGAATTTCCTAACTTTTATTTATTTTTAAGCATTTATTCATTTTTTGTAGAGTTGGGATTTCGCTATGTTTCCCAGGCTGGTCTTGAATTGCTGGGCTCAAGCAGTCCTCCTGCCTTGGCTTCCCAAAGTGCAGGGATTACAGGCATGAGCCACTGTACCCAGCCGGTTTTCTAACTCAAAGACAAAATTATTATTTTTTCTTTTGATTGTAAAATCTTCCCAGGGATCAATGGAATTTCCTAACATTTTTCATTTTATACCTGTGGAGTATACGTACCCCAGTGTTAGAAGCAGGTGCCTCAAGCCATCTTAGACTCTCCTATCCTGTATGTCCTTGTCGTCTCTAGATCATGTTTATTCTGCCGCTGCTGTATCTTTTTTTTTTCTTTGAGATGGGGTTTCACTCTTGTCGCCCAGGCTGGAGTGCAATTCAGCACCAGCTGAATTGCAGTGGTGCAATTCCGGCCCACTGCAACCTCCACCTCCTGGGTTCAAGCGATTCTCCTGCCTCAGCTCCCTGAGCAGCTGAGATTACAGGCACCCACCACCACGCCCAGTTAATTTTCATATTTTTAGTAGAGTTGGGGTTTCACCATTACTTTTATCTTTTACCTTAACTTTATTGGCCAAGTTGGTCTCGAACTCCTGACCTCAGGTGATCTTCCTGCCTTGGCCTCTCAAAGTGTTGGGATTACAGGCGTGAGCCACGGTGCCCAGCCTCTGCTGTATCTTTCCAGGTTTCTTTTCTATTTGATCTACCCCATCCTGGTTTTGTGCCTCATCACCTCACCTTTTCTTTCTTCCTATTTTGTCTCTTCACAGTACTGCTGAGATACTGTTCCTAGAAGAGTATAGATTTATAAATATCACTTCTCTATTCTGTATAGGCTCCTTTTTTAATACCTTACAACAAAAGTACCTTGGTCTACCTTTCAACACTTTTCCTGCTACTCTTAATTGTTTTAGCCAGACATCCTACTTGTTTTATCAGCATACATCCCTTTACTTTCTTGAATGTTTTTTGTTCAGACTCATTTTTCTCCTACTTCGCGTTGATACATTTACCCATTCACCTCAAATATTTGTAGTTTTATATGTATCGTTACCACACCCCGCACCCCCCACCCCCCGCCCCCTGCCACCATGTTATGTTTGACCTTCAAAGTCATCTGAAAGATGGCTACTTTGGAGGGGCTTTAATGATAATGTTCTCCTCTCTACTTTCCCTTAAAGAAAGAAGAGGTAAGAAAATGAACAATTTTGCCTTCCTTGGAAATACCCTAGGATGGTGTTTTATATAGGACATTTATTTTTATATTTAGTTTTATTATTTTGATTTTGAGACAGATTTGATTTTAATTTGTTGCCCAGGCTGGAGTGCAGTAGTGTGATCATAGCTCACTGTAGCCTTGACCTCCCTGGGCTTAGGTGATCTTCCCACCTCAGCCTCTTGCCAGTAGCTGGGACCACAGGTGCTTGCCACCACCCTGGTTAACATACATATATATGTGTGTGTGTAAGGTTTTACAATGTTGCCCAGGCTGGTCTCAATCTCCTTGGGCTCAAATGATCCTCCTGTCTCAACCTCCCAAAGTGTTGGGATTACAGTCATGAATCATCATGGCTGGCCTAGGACATTTATTTTTTATTTTTATTTATTTATTTTTTGGAGACAAAGTCTTACTCTGTTGCCCAGGCTAGAGTGCAGTGGCACGATCTCTGCTCACTGCAACCTCTGCCTCCCGGGTTCAAGCGATTCTGTCTTAGCCTCCCAAGTAGCTTGGATTACAGGTCCCTGCTGCCACGCCCAGCTAATTTTTGTATTTTTAGTAGAGATGGGGTTTCTCCATGTTGGCTCAGCTAGTCTCGAACTCCTGACCTCAGATGATCTGCCAGCCTCGGCCTCCCAAAGTGATGGGATTACAGGCATGAGCCATTGCGCCTGGCCCAGGACATTTATTTTTATTGCTAAATACATTTCAGTCATTTATGTATTTGTTTTCTCCCCCGCTTTTAAATGCCTTTGGGACAGGGACGCGATCTTTGAATCTTTGTCAGGAATAGATAGTTTCTTCTACTTCATAGGACCTCCATGTAATTTTTGAATTAGATTGGCAGTAGGCAAAAGATTAAAAAACATATGAAAATTACCTGATGGAGTTTTTAGCATCAATTACTAGTTGGCTAATTATGGATAGAGTCTCAATTATGCTTGAATAGGTCTATTCTTTTTTAAAAGCATGTTCTTGCTTTTAAGTATTTGCATATTATACATTTCATAATGAAAGATTTCAGTTCTAATTATTGGAATCTTGAAGGAACCATATTATTTTCCTAAGCTAAGAAGAATTTTTGAATTATGGCATGGTAATCTTTTCTGATATTGAAGTTTAAGTATATTCTCTGGGCATGTTTATTTGTTTTTGCTAATAACTGGTTAGTATGGTATCTTAAGTAAAGTTTATTGATGTACACTTACAAGCCAAATTTTGTGTTTGCTTTGTAGTCTCCTAGAACTATATTGGATTGCAGCATATTCTGGAAATGTTGGACTTTAATTTTAGTAAATTCTGGTTCAAAAAGTAAAGTATCACTCATAACATGAAAATTCACCTTTGTGATTACTGCTGTTGCTAAAGCCATCAAGTCACTAGGAATTTACACTAACTGGGATATGTAAATATATTGCTGTTCTCCCAAGAAACTTTTTGTCGTGTATCTAGATCATTAATCCCCTTCTGTATGGTGTTTTCTAAATAAAATATTTATGGTTCTCTTTTAGGCTGGCATGGCTCTATATAAGATTGTCCCCAAAAATCCCTACTACTTTTGGTCTGTGATGAGCTTAATTATGCAAGTGAGTATGGCATTCAGAATGGGATTGAGGTTTGGTTTTATTTTTTATATAGTTATTGTCCTCAGTGTGTCTTCTGAACTGGTTTTTTTTGTTTGAGACAGGGTCACGCTGTCACCCAGGCAGGAGTGCAGTGGTGCAATCATAGCTCACTGCTGCCTTGACCTCCTAGGCTCAAGCAATCCCTCTACCTCAACCTCCCAAGTAGCTGGGACTACAGGTGCACACCACCTTGCCTGGCTAATTAAAAAAAATTTATTTTTTGGTCAGGTGTGGTGGCTCACGCCTGTAATCCCAGCACTTTGGGAGGCCAAGGTGGGTGGATCACGAGGTCAGGAAATCGAGACCATCCTGACCAACATAGTGAAACCCCATCTCTACTAAAAATATAAAAATTAGCTGGGCATGGTGGCATGTGCCTGTAATCCCAGCTACTCTGGAGGCTGAGGCAGGAGGGTCGCTTGAACCCAGGAGGCGGAGGTTTCAGTGAGCCGAGATCATGTCACTGCACTCTAGCCTGGCGATAGAGCGAGACTCTGTCTCAAAAAAATGTTGTAGAGACAGGGTCTCACTCTTTTGACCAGGCTGGTCTTGAACTCCTGGCCTCAAGCAATCCTTCTGCCTCAGCCTCCCAAAGTGCTGGGATTACAGGCATGAGCCTCTGTATCTGACTGTGAACATTTTGTGTAATGTGTTGCAGCATGTCAAACAGGGACTTTGTGTTGTCAATTGACTTAAGTTAGGGGTTTTGAGTTTTTTGGGTTTTTTTTTTTTTTTTTTTTTTGAGACAGAGTCTCGCTCTAACCCAGGCTGGAGTGCAGTGACGCGATCTCAGCTCACTGCAAGCCCCACCTCCCAGGTTTACGCCATTCTCCTGCCTCAGCCTCCTGAGTAGCTGGGACTACAAGCATCTGCTACCATGCCCGGCTAATTTTTTTGTATTTTTAGTAGAGATGGGGTTTCACCATGTTAGCCAGGATGGTCTCGATCTCCTGACCTCGTGATCCGCCCGCCTCGGCCTCCCAATGTGCTGGGATTACAGGCATGAGCCACCGCGCCTGGCCCTTGAGTATTCTTTATGAGTTGGTATATCAGTTTATTTGTGGGTAGCATGGACTGTATTTCCCCTGAATCTCTAATCTATTGCTGGGTTGCTTGATCAAGCATGAGCCTTGAAATGTTTGATATTACAACTTGAGGTTTGCTTTTAAGACAATATTGCTGATTAGTTAATGGCTCATTGAACTGGGTGGCCTTCTTTTATCACTTCTCCTTTCTGAGCCTCAGTTTGCTCTTTTGCAGAAAGGAGACACTTTTCTCCCAGGGACCAAAGTGAGATTCTGTATAGGAGAGGATGGGGAGGAAGGATTTAAAAGTAGTGTTTAAGAACAGATGTTATGGGGTCAGACAGGTCTGCCTTCATACATTAGCTTTACCGCATGTCTGGTAAAGCTGTCTGGGGAATTTCTTAACCTTAGTTTTTTTTTTTTTCTGTTGTCCAAGCTGGAGTGCAGTGGCATGACCTCAGCTTACTGCACCTCCTAGGTTCAAGCGATTCTCATGTCTCAGCCTCCCAAGTAGCTAGGATTATAAGCATGCACCACCACACACACCTAGCTAATTTTTTAAATTATTTTTCAGTAGAGACGGGGGTTTTGCCATGTTGGCCAGGCTGGTCTCAAAATTTCTGGCCTCAAGGGATCCACCTGCCCCAGCCTCCTGGAGTGTTAAGTTTACAGTCATGAGCCACCACGCCTGGCCTAACCTTAGTTTCTTTGTAAAATAAGCATAATATCTACCTTGAAAGGTTGTTTACAAGGGTTAAGTGAGCTGTGAGCAGAATCTGGTGTTATTAACTTTATTAATTTCATGTGTTAATTGTTGTTACCAATTTAAGGTAACTAGCTACTAGTAAACTGTGTAATGAAAGGAATTGGCATTTCTCTTCTAGTATGTGAACATCTCAAAGATACCTGGAAGGCTTTCCTCTTCAAATACCTGATAATACTCATAAATAATAAACAGCATAGGCATGCTCCCTCTTTACATTCTTCTAGAAAAATGTATAAATAACCGACTTAAATGCTAGGTTGTATTGTGGAAGCTCAGTATTTCAAGAACACATAGGATAATGAATCTTTAGCAAAGAAATCTTTTGTAAAACAAACTGCTCCGTAATGTACCTCCTTGGCAGGGAATTCATATTAGGTCTGATATTTGACATGGTGGATTGATAATTATGTGCCCAATTAACAGTAATGTTAATATCAATAGTGCAAGCAGGGGAGAATTAGAATGAAACATTATTTTTCTTCTTTCAGTCTATATCGGCACAGGATGAAAACCTCTCAAAAACAATGTTTCTGCCCCTTGCTGAGAGAATGGTCGAAAAAATGGTGAAAGAGGACAAGATAGAAGCTGAGGCTGAAGTGAGTATTTTAAGCCTTACTTTTGTGTTTTCATTTTTTTGCTAGTGCTACAATATTATGTTATAATACTATGAACTGTTGTTTTGTTCCAGTTTGATAGCTGGGTCCTCACTTTTGGCCTTTGGGTAAATCTGAAGCCCTCAGCGTAGGTCTAATCACTGACCTGTTTCCAGCAAGTACTCTAGGCTGAGATGTGTATAGACGGGAGAGATATAGATGGAGAAGATCCTGTTACCTGCTTCGTACTGTCAGTTTCATCTCATTTGAAGACATGCTCTATTAAATAACTTTTTAAAAACCTATAAATGACTGTCTTTTTATTATTGAAAAGTTTCAGAGGTTGCACTTCTTGTTTTTTTTCTGTAAGGTTGAACTTTATTATATGATCCTGGAACGTTTGGGAAAGTACCAGGAGGCCTTGGATGTCATCAGAGGGAAATTAGGAGGTAATTTTTAAACATTTTCTTAAAGCTTTTTTTTTTTCCTATTTAAACATGAAAAATGTTTATTGTAGAAAATTTCCACATAAGGATATAAAGACATAAACACTTTTGATCATTTTGTTATATTCTTCCAGACTTTTCTGTATGTTGTAAATTTATTTTTAAAAATGTTTTTACTTGAAAATAACAGATTCAGAAACTTCAAGGAGTGTGAAAGGTTATACTCCAGATCTCTAGCCGTCTTCCCCTAGGTTTTCCTCCAGTTACACTTTATATTCTTGTAAAGATTCATCTTCCCCACTTTTTTTTTTAAACACGAATGAAAACATAATATACCTGGCTCATAGAATAATCTTATTCAGTTAGCACAATGTTTTTATTTAAAAAAAATTTTTCTTTAAAAATTTTAAATTAATTAATGCCCCTCTAGTCAGGATTTGTACTCTGTAGATACCGCAAACATTCCTTCTTTATTTGTATGTCTGTCTTATGAAGGCATTTGAGTTTGTGACCTCTGCTGTGCATACTCTTATACCCATACTTTATTTTTATTATTTATTTATTTATTTTAAAGAGATGAGGTCTCACTGTTTTGCCCAGGCTGGACTTGAACTCCTGGGCTCAAGTGATTCTCCCATCTCAGCCTCCCAAGTAGCTAGGACGACGGGCACACACCACCACACTGGGCTCCATTATTTCTTTCTTTCTTTTTTTTTTTGGAGACAGAGTCTCACTCTGTGGCCAGGCTAGAGTGCAGTGGTGCGATCTCGGCTCACTGCAACCTCTGCCTCCTGGGTTCAAGTGATTCTCCTGCCTCAGCCTCGTGAGTAGCTGGGACTACAGGCACACACCACCACGCCCAGCTAATTTTTGTATTTTTAGTAGAGACGGGGTTTCAACATGTTGGCCAGGCTGGTTTCAAACTCCTAACCTCAAGTGATCTGCCTGCCTCTGCCTCCCAAAGTGCTGGGATTACAGGTGTGAGCCACCACGCCTGGCCTCCATTATTTTATTATTATTATTATTATTTTAACTAAATAGTATTTCCTAGAGATAAAGTTCACTACCTCACTCCTTTAATAACTGTCCAGTGTTCCACAGTGTGAATGTAGAAATTTACTTAACCAGTTTTTGATGGATATTTAGGCTACTCACAAGAAACTTCTTGTTTTTTTTTGTTGTTGTTGTTGTTTTTGAGACAGGGCCTTGCTCTGTTAGCCAGGCTAGAATGCAGTGGCATCATCACAGCTCACTGCAGCCTTGATCTCCTGGGTTTAAGTTATCCTCTCACCACAGCCTCCTAAATAGTTAGGACTCCAGGCGTATGCCATCAAACCTGGCTAATTTTTATATTTTTTGTAGAGGTGGGGTCTCAATATGTTGCCCAGGCTGGTCTCGAACTCCTGGTCTCAAGCGATCTGCCTGCTTCAGCCTCCCAAAGTGCTGGGATTACTACAGGTGTGACCTGTCAGGCCTGGCCCTTTTTTTTTTTTAAACTACATTATAGCTCTATGGATAGTAAAAAGTTAGATTCTCAACAGGAAATTCATAATGTAATTTTTGGTATCCTTAATCTGCTAAACAGTTGGGCAAATCTAATTTGGTCAGAACTATCATCCTAGTTTTTTTGTTTTCAGTTGTTTGGAAAGATTTGATTCCTCTCCACTCTTTTTTGTCTTCTTCCAACATCTCATCTTTCTTAGCTCATGTCAGCTCAGTCCTCTTTGATGTTTTGGAACTGTATGGATGGGCAGCTTGTCTATGGACTAAATTTACTAGTCCCTAGATGCTGTTGGGATTTTATAAGTATATCCCATGTACTATTAATAGATGTTCAACCCAATACATTGTGAAACCTATCCTTTTACAAAGAAAATGATTATAAAAATTTACTGTCAGTAATGTACTTTTTTCTTTGAAGTAAAATAATCTTTAATAAGATAGTAGTAGTTTGTATGTAATAGTGGTCCCATTTTCTAAGAGAGTGAATAAGAAAATGTGACATTTAGGCCGGGCCCGGTAGCTCACAGCTGTAATCCCAGCACTCTGGGAGGCTGGGATGGGTGGATCACCTGAGGTCAGGAGTTTAAGACCAGCCTGGCCAACATGGTGAAATCCTGTCTCTACTAAAAATACAAAAATTAGCCAGGCGTGGTGGCAGATGCCTGTAATCCCAGCTACTTGGGAGGCTGAGACAGGAGAATCGCTTGAATCCAGGAGGTGGAGGTTGCAGTGAGCCAAGATCGTGCCATTGCACTCCAGCCTGGGTGACAAGAGTGAAACTCCATCTCAAAAAAAAAGAAAAGAAAATGTGACATTTTCCTTCTTGTGGTTGGACTCTATTCTGGTTATTGAGCAGAAATGAAACCAGCTTACCAACTTTTATAACTTTTGATTTTAGAGAAGTTGACAAGTGAGATTCAGAGTCGGGAAAATAAATGCATGGCTATGTACAAGAAGCTGAGCAGGTGGCCAGAGTGCAATGCCCTTTCCCGGCGCCTCTTACTAAAAAAGTGAGTAAAAGCTTTCTTTTGTACCATTTGACTGTAGTGAGGCTTTAAGACCTCACTATTGATTTTCTTGGTGTCTGTGTTTTGAAGTTTCTGGGCATAAAGTCTTCTTATAGTAGTTGTGTCCTGCATGTTTCTAAAAGTTTTTAAGGAGCCTTCATCTTTCAGTAGAGTATTATAATGGTACTTGTAGGCTGGGCATGGTGGCTCATGCCTATGATCCCAGCACTTTGAGAGGCCAAGGTGGGCAGATCACTTGAGGTCAGGAGTTTGAGACCAGCCTGGCCAACATGGCGAAACCCTGTCTTTACTGAAAATACAAAAATTAGCTAGTTGTGGTGGTGCGTGCCTGTAGTCCCAGCCCCTCGGGAAGCTGAGGCACAAGAATCGCTTGAACCTGGGAGGCAGAGGTTGCAGTGAGCTGAGATCATGCCACTGCACTCCAGCCTGGGTGACAACAATGAGACTCCATCTCAAAAAAAAAAAAAAGATACTTGTGCCACCATGGTGCTGAATTCTAGTTAGGGCTTAAGAATGAACACTGAAAATCATTAATTTCTCAAATTCAGTATTCCCCTAAAAGAGAGAGGCTTCATTCTTTGCTACAACACTTCTCTCCCCTTCCCTCTATTTTGGAAGTGCTTATGTGGGGACTTTTCTGTTATGAATATTAGTTTTCTAGACCTGGTCATTTTATTGAAGGAAAGAGTAGTTTACTACTCTTTACAAATACAAAGTAGTATTACTTTGAAAATGCCCTTTTAGATTTGCAAAGGAAACATGGAGTGGGTGGGGGTAAGCCAACCTACTACATACTAAAATATAACTTACAAAATAAATTGAATATCATGGTTCCTAAGGAAGATCTGTCACAACTTGGGTTTAATCCTGTGTGCATCATTCAATCTGATTTTAGCTCAGATGACTGGCAGTTCTATCTGACTTATTTCGATTCTGTCTTTCGACTGATTGAAGAGGCCTGGAGTCCTCCTGCTGAAGGTGAACAGTAAGTTGTCTTCTTTCCTGAATTATAACAGCACTTTTTAATATAGTGTAGTGAAAGGATTTCATTATAAGCCAATTGAATTCTCTTTTTCTGTCTCAATAAAGTATTCCTTTCAAAGTAAGACATTTTTTCATATTTTTTAAAGTATAAAATACACAAGTTCATTCTAAAAATCATGTTAGTGCCAAAATATGTGGTGTGCTAATTTCCACTTATCCTACCATTCCAAAAATAACTCTTGTTAATAGTTTGGTGCCTTTCCGTGAGATTTATTTCCATCTTTATGCTAAGATAATTTTTCTTTTTCTCCTTTTTTTTTTTTTTTTTTTTTTTGAGATGGAGTTTGGCTCTTGTCACCCAGGCTGGAGTGCAATGGCACGATCTTGGCTCACTGCAACCTCTGCCTCCCAGAAGCAAGCGATTCTCCTGCCTCAGCTTCCCGAATAGCTGGGACTATAGGTGCCCACCGCCGTGCTCAGCTACTTTTTGTATTTTTGGTAGAGACGGGGTTTCACCGTGTTGGCCAGGCTGGTCTCAAACTCCTGACCTCAGGTGATCCACCCATCTCAGCATCTCAGCCTCCCAAAGTGCTGGGATTACAGGTGTGAGCCATTGCGCCCGGCTTAATTATTCTTATATTTAATATAAAAATGGGATTGTATTAGACACGATTTGCAACCTGTTATTTTTCAGCCTTGAAATATATCTTGAACATCTTTCATTTCTGGTACATGTAGATCTCTTTCATTTTTTTTCCCCCCAGTGGCTTAAGAGTACTCCAGATGTACCATAATTCATTTAGCATTTTCCCTATTGATGATACTTGGATTTTTGAAGATCTCTTTTTTTTTCCTTTGTCCTTTTGTTATTGGCTATTGTAGGCAGTACTACAATAAATTTTTTTTCCTTTTTATAGGCATCTAGAGTTAAATGAATAAATGGGGCCGGGCACAGTGGCTCACGCCTGTTATCCCAGCACTTCGGGAGGTGGAGGCGGGCGGATCACAAGGTCAGGAGATCAAGACCATCCTGTGAATGGTGAAACCCCATCTCTACTAAAAATACAAAAAATTAGCTGGGCGTGGTGGCGGGCGCCTGTAGTCCCAGCTACTCTGGAGGCTGAGGAGGGAGAATGGCGTGAACCCGGGAGGCGGAGCTTGCAGTGAGCCGAGATCGTGCCACTGCACTCCAGCCTGGGCGACAGAGCAAGACTCCCTCTCAAAAAAAAGTGAATAAATGGGATCTTTTAAAAAATTAATACAGAAGTAAAATTCAAGATGACAGTTATGAGCTGATGCTTGCTTCGTAATATTAACTAGGTTACCTAATTTTTCTCAGTTTTCATTCTTAAAGCAATAAAATGTACAAGACCCCATCTCAAAAATATATGTGTGTGTGTGTGTGTGTGTGTGTATTTAATTTTTAATTTTTGTTTTTTTTGAGACAGGGTCTCACTCTGTCACCTAGGCTGGAGTGCAGTTGTGTGATCTTGGCTCACTGCAACCTCTGCCTCCTGGGCTCAAGTGATCCTTTTGCCTCAGCCCCAAAAGCAGCTTGGGACTACAGGCATGAGCCACCACGCCTGGCTAATTTTTGTATTTTTTGTAGAGATGGGGTTTTACCATGTTGCCCAGGCTGATCTTGAACTCGTGAGCTCAAGTGATCCACCTGCCTTGGCCTCCCAAAATGCTAGGATTACAGGTGTGAGCCACCGTGCCTGGCCTTTTTTTCTTTTTGAGATGGGGTCTTGCTCTGTCACCCAGTCTGGAGTGCAGTGGTGTAATCTTGCCTCCCACTGTAATCTCTGCCTCTCAGGCTCAAGTGATCATCCCACATCAGCCTCCCAAGTAGCTGAGACTACAGGTGTGTGCCACCACAATTGGCTGCTTTAAATTTTTTGTAGAGATGGGGTCTCCATGCATTGCCTAGGCTGGTCTCAAACTCATGGGCCCAAGCAGTCCTCCCACCTCAGCATCCCAAAGTGCTGGGATTTTAGGTGTGAGCCACCACACCCAGCCTTATATTTTTATTAGGCAATTTTTTTTTCTTTTCTTTTTTTTTTTTTTGAGATGGAATCTCTCTCTGTCACCTAGGCTGGAGTGCAGTGGCGTGATCTCAGCTCACTGCAACCTCTCCCTCCTGGGTTCAAGCGATTCTCCTGCCTCAGCCTCCTGAGTAGCTGGGACTACAGGTGCATGCCACCACGCCCGACTAGTTTTTTATACTTTTAGTAGAGATGGGGTTTCACCATCTTGGCCAGGCTGGTCTCGAACTCCTGACCTCAAGTGATCCGCCCACCTCAGGCTTCCAAAGTGCTGGGATTACAGGCGTGAGCCACCACGCCCAGCCAGGCAGTATTTCATATATACAAAATTATGCATTCTTTTTTTAAAAAGGTAAGTTATGCTGCAGTAATCAAATGCCAAAATTGAGAGTAATCTTATAACATGTTATCTGTTAGAATATGTTCATAGTTCTCTTTTATTCCTTTTTCTATTATTTTATATTATCAAAGTCGTTTTTCTCTTTTTAAATGAGTTTGGCTTGACTTTAAGCTTCGGGAAGGACAATAGAGGCAATAAAATTCCTTTTTCATGTGCTTTTCCTCAGCTCTTTAGAAGGAGAAGTACATTATTCTGCAGAAAAAGCTGTGAAGTTTATAGAAGATCGGATAACGGAAGAATCTAAAAGTTCTCGCCATCTCCGAGGACCACATCTAGCTAAATTGGAGCTGATTAGGCGTTTACGAAGTCAAGGTTGTAACGATGAGTACAAACTGGGTAAGAAACCATGATATCTGGTAAGCCTGGAGAATGCCCTTAATACCCAAGTGCTATATTCATTAGTTGAGATCTACACTGGACAGAGTCATGTTTGGGAAGCAGATGTCTTCATAGCCTGAAAATATTTGCTAATGAATGGATCACTTATAAAATTAGTCCTTTATCATATATTCACCTTGGCTTAACATTAACTTATCTCCCTGTTCCGTCAGAGTCTTTGTCAGGCATTCTGTTGCTGACCCAACAATAAAGTCAAAATCAGCTGGTTGCGGTGTCTCACGCCTGTAATCCCAGCACTTTGGGAGGCTGTTGTGGGTGGATTGCTTGAGCTCAGGAGTTGGAGATCAGCTGGGGCAACATGGTGAAACCCCATCTACAAAAAATACAAAAAAATTAGCTGGGCATAATGACGCACATCTGTAGTCCCAGCTACTCAGGAGGCTGAGGCAGGAGAGTCTCTTGAGTCCAGGAGGCAGAGGTTATAGTGATCTGAGATCGTGCCTTCACTCCAGCCTGAGCGACACAGCCAGAACCTGTCTCAAAAATTTAATTTAAAAAAATAAAAAAACCTGGCTGGGTGCATTGGCTCACACCTGTAATCCTAGCACTTTGGGAGGCCGAGGTGGGCGGAACACCTGAGCTCAGGAGTTCAAGACCAGCCTGGCCAACATGGCCGTAACCCCGTTTCTGCTAAAAATACAAAAAATTGGGTGGATGTGGTGGCTCATGCCTATAATCCCAGCACTTTGGGAGGCCGAGGTGGGCGGATCACCTGAGGTCAGGTGTTCAAGACCAGCCTGGCCAACATGGCCGTAACCCCGTTTCTCCTAAAAATACAAAAAATTGGGTGGATGTGGTGGCTCATGCCTATAATCCCAGCACTTTGGGAGGCCAAGGCGGGCGGATCACCTGAGGTCAGGTGTTCAAGACCAGCCTGGCCAACATGGTGAAACACCGTCTCTACTAAAAATACAAAAATTAGCCAGGCATGGTGGCACACGCCTGTAGTTACAGCTACTTGGGAGGCTGAGGCAGGAGAATTGCTTGAACCTGGGAGGTACAGGTTGTGATGAGCTGAGATCTTGCCGCTGCACTCTAGCCTGGGTGACAGAGTGAGACTCTGTCTCAAAAACAAACAAAAACAAAAAATTATCTGAGCGTGGTGTCGTGCACCTGTGTCTCAGCTACTCGGGAGGCTGAGACACAAGAATCGCTTGAACCAAGAGATGGAGGTTGCAGTTAGCCAAGATCGCGCCACCGCACTCCAGCTTCAGCCTGGGTGACACAGCGAGACTCTGTCGCAAAACAACAAAAAATTAAAAAAAAATAAAAACAGTCAAAAACAATAAAGTCAAAATCAACTTCAAAGTAAAATTGCCAGTTTGGGAAAAGTTTCATGAAGTGGATGAAAGGTTTCTTGAAAATCTGCTTGAAGCACTCACAAAACTATTGACAAAAGAATATTTGGTGGAATTAGCAATTTATAACTGAAGAGAAAATTTACTAGGATAATGACAAGATAGCAGAAAAGAATGATGTGGATAGTAAAGCATTGAGAGAATCCTTCAGGAAATTTGATGAAGCCCTTAGATCTTTTTATAAAATGATTCTTTATGATCTTATTGCTCAATAAGTAAAGGATATCGTCATTGTACTAGTTCACAATTTTGCTGGAAAAACTACCACCTCCCTAAAAGAAAGCAGTAATTCTTTGCTCATACTAAGAATTTGCTTACAGGTTTTTATTTTATTATTATTATTTTTGAGACAGTGTCTCCCTCTGTTGCCCATGCTGGAGTATAGTGGTGTAGTCTCCACTCACTGCAACCTCTGCCTCCTGGGTTCAAGTGATTCTCCTGCCTCAGCCTCCCAAGTAGCTGGGATTACAGGCGATCGCCACCACACCTGGCTAATTTTTGTATTTTCAGTAGAGATGGGGTTTTGCCATGTTGCCCAGGCTGGTCTCAAACTCCTGGACTCAAGTGATCTCCCTACCTTGGCCTCCCGAAGTGCTGGGATTACAGACATGAGCCACTGCACCCGGCCTAGCTTACAGTTTTGTTTTTTTTTTTGAGATGGAGTCTCTCTCTGTCGCCCAGGCTGGAGTGCAGTGGCGCAGTCTCGGCTCACTGCAACTTCCGCCTCCCAGGTTCAAACAGTTCTCCTGCCTCAGCCTCCCTAGTAGCTGGGATTACAGGTGCACACCACCCCGTCCAGCTAATTTTGTATTTTTGAGTCAAGACGAGTTTCTCCATGTTGGCCAGGCTGGTCTCGAACTCTTGACCTCAGGTGATCCTCCTGCCTTGGCCTCCCAAAGTGCTGGGATTACAGGCATGAGCCACTGCACCCAGCCTATTTTATAATCTTTAACTTAATTTAATTTAATTTTTGAATGGAGTCTTGCTCTGTTGCTCAGGATGGAGTGCAGTGGCATGATCTTGGCTCACTGCAACATCCACCTTCTCGGTTCAAGCGATCCTTTGCCTTATCCTCTCAAGCAGTTGGGATTACAAGCATGTGCTGCCACGCCCAGCTAATTTTTGTACTTTTAGTAGAGATGGGGTTTCACCATGTTGCCAGGCTGGTCTTGAACTCCTGACTTCAAGGGATTGCCCGCCTTAGTCTTCCAAAGTGTGGGATTACAGGTGTGAGCTACTGCATCCAGCCTATTTTTTTATCTTTTAAAGACTAGTCAGGTGCAGTGGTGAAAAGGGGGAAAGAGTAGAACAATGAGTTCAGTCTGTAACTGAACAAGTAGTTGAGATAACCCGCTATCTTGGGACCAGTTGCAAGCAAAATTTTGTTTTAATTGAAATGAATGTTTTCAAATTAATTCTCACTTAAATAGAAATTGCTTCTGTTCATGAGTAATAAAGTGATTTTGTTCCCCGTCCCCCAGGTGATCCAGAAGAATTAATGTTCCAGTATTTTAAAAAGTTTGGCGATAAACCTTGTTGTTTTACAGACCTTAAGGTGTTTGTTGACCTCTTACCTGCTACACAGTGTACAAAAGTAAGTACTATACAGTTTAGAAGTTTGTTGGGTGCCTCTATTTGTTGAAACACAGAGGTTAAATGTTTGGGTTTCTTTTCTAAAATGTGCGGAATTGATAATCATGAGATACAATGATAACTGCCCTGTCAAGCTAAGTACTCTATGTGTTACAACACTGAAGGCATAATTTCTGGTTAAGTCACAACGGGAGTAAAGCCCTAACAGATGGTGGATTCTCCTTTTTTTGACTGTCTTATTTTGAGATAATTATGGATTTACATGTAATTGGAAGAAATAACACATCTCGATTTACATGTAATTGGAAGAAATAACACATCTCATATATCCTTTATCTGTTTGTCCCAATGGCAACATCTTGCCCAATTATAGTGTAATATAATTAGGAAATTGACATTGCTCTCATCTGTTGAACTTACTCAGTTTTTGCCAGTTTTGCATGCACTGATTTTTGTGTGTTTGGGTGTTGTGTATGGATTTAGTGCAGTATGTGGCACATATGGGTGTGTGTGTGACTATTACCGTAGTCAAGATACAGAACAGTCCCACCACCACCAGAATCCCACATGCTACCCTTTAATAACAATAGCCACCTCCCCCTCTCCCATCTCTATCTATGGGCAGCTATTATGTTTTCCATCTTTATAATTTTGTCATTTTTTGAATGTGAAGTACAGCCAGGTACGGTGGCACGTGCCTGTAGTCCCCAGCTACTTGGGAGACTGAGGCGGCAGGATCGCTTGAGCCCAGGAGTTCGAGGCTGCAGTGAGCTGTAATCATGCTGCTGCACTCCAGCCTGAGCGACAGAGTGAGACTCTGTCTCTTAAAAAAAGAAAAAAAGAGGCTGGGTGTGGTGGCTTACGCCTGTAATCCCAGCACTTTGGGAGGCTGAGGTGGGTGGATCACCTGAGGTCAGGAGTTCAAGACCAGCCTGGCCAATAATGGTGAAACCTTGTCTCTACTAAAAATACAAAAAATTAGCTGGGTGTGGTGGTGAGCACGTGTAGACCCAGCTACTTGGGAGGCTGAGGCAGGAGAATTGCTTGATCCCAGAAGGCGGAGGTTGCAGTGATCTGAGATCACAGCAACCACATGATTGACTCTCCAGGAATTTATGCGGAGTGAAATAAGCCAATCTCAGAAGTTACACATAGTATGATTCCGTTTATTTAATTTTTTTCTTTTTCTTTTTTTTGAGACAGGGTCTCGCTCTGTGGCCCAGGCTCATTGCAACCTCTACCTCCTGGGTTCCAGTGATCCTCGTGCCTCAGCCTCCTGAGTAGATGGGACTACAGGCACATGCCACCAGGCCTGGCTAATTTTTGTATTTTTAGTTAGAGACAGGGTTTTGCCATGTTTGCCAGGCTGGTCTCGAACTCCCGACCTCAAGTGATCCACCCGCCTCAGCCTTTCAAATTGCTGGTAGTACAGGTGTGAGCCACTGTGCGTGGCTTTATTCTATAAAATAGAACAAGTGTTCCCTACTGTTGAGTTTGCAGAGATTTTTATATATCTTAGATACAAGTTCTTTGTCAGATATGTGGTTTCAAATGTATTCTCCCAGTCTGTAGTTTGCTCTTTCATCTTTTTCATGAAATTCTGCAGCACAAAGTTTACATTTTAAAGTCTAGTGGGCTCTCCTTTTAATGTCTTGTTTCTTTGTTTCTTTTTTTTTGAGACGGAGTCTTGCTCTCGCTCTGTCGCCCAGGCTGGAGTGTGTTGGCGCGATCTCTGCTCTCTGCAACCTCTGCCTCCTGGTTCAAGGGATTCTCCTGCCTCAGCCTCCCAAGTAGCTGGGATTACTGGTGTGCTACTATGCCTGGATGATTTTTGTATTTTTAGTAGAGATGGGGTTTTACCATGTTGGTCAGGCTGGGAAGATTGGAAGTCTTTCTATAACAGGGCTGCCATCATCCGTTCTCCCAGAAAGCCTTCTATTGTCCCCATGTGGAATGAATGAAGTGCACTGGGAGCACAGTGGATATAATTAGAGTATTTTTTTAGTGACCACATTTGTAGTCCATGAAGGTTCAGTACTTTGGCAGACTTGGGGTTACACATTTGGGCAGATAGAGCAGTGCATTCCCCAACTGATAAGTAACCAGTGGTCTCTGGGGTTCTGAAATGACTGCTGCCATTCACGTTGGTTTAGTAAAGCTCTGTTTGAGTTGCTGTGGTTATAGGGCTCAGGCCAAGCCTAGAAGTTTCTGGATAAATTGTAACACATCCAGAAAGGAGAGTTATGGGTTATAGGAGGATTTAAAAGCATATAAGAGGGAAAAATGGTTGAGTGGAGGAGAGGTTTGGTCTGTCAAGGTCAGAGTGATATTGCCGTTCACTTATTTGAAAAGCTGTCTTTAGAAGAGGGAGGAAAACAGGGACCAGCAGGAAGTTCTACAGGGAGCTCAGAATTTGGCTCACTGAGAAAAATATCTTTCTTAGTAGTGAGAATTCTCTCAAATACTGTGTGTGAGCTTCACGTTACTGGAGGGATTGAAGTAGAATGTAGATAAACCAGGTGGGAGGGATTCATTCAGTAAGTGTCGAGCATATTGTGTGCTAAGCCCTAAGATAAGGAATAACTGATCTTGTCTTACAGTGCTTATTGTCTTGCTAGTTGAAGCATCAAATGGTGGGGGTGCATTAGAGGAACACTTTGCTACTTTTAGATGAGATTTATGAAGGTTTGCTACCATGAATCTAGTACCAGTAACCTTTTCTGTACAGCTCTACTTCATTGGTGTGTTTGAGAATCTTAGGTCATCTCATGTGATCCCACATAGTAAGAATCGTCTATTCAGATGACCCTTACTGGAATGCTAGCAGTGATAAGCTCTAGTCACTGCTCTGTGAGAATAAGGATTTAAAGCTGTTACATTGAGTTTATAGTCCTAGTCTATGTAAATTTTACTTGAGAGAGGTAATTTTGCTGCCACTTTTTGACTGTAGGATAACTTCAGTAGCTAAATATCCTGCCAGTCAGCAAGTATGTTTGTCAGAGGATTACGAACTGTCCAAGTCAATCTGAGAATTGTCCTAATGAATTATGAACCAAATCTTTCTAAAGTCTGACTAGCCCCTAAGAGTGAGCCAGTGAGTTCAGTTATCCTGAAGTGGCTCGCCCTGGGTGATGTTCTAATCTTTTGTTTCATTTGCTTTGGGGTTTTAGCTAAACAATAAAATGATTCTAGTTTTTTATTTATTTATTTATTTTTTTGAGATAGAGTCTTGCTCTGTCGCCCTGGCTGGAATGCAATGGCACAATCTTGGCTCACTGCAACCTCCACCTCCCGGGCTCAAGTGATTCTCCTGCCTCAGCCTCCCCAGTAGCTGGGATTACAGACGTCCATCACCACCCCTGGCTAATTTTTTTTTTTTTTTTGAGACAGTTTCGTTCTTGTTGCCCAGGCTGGAGTGCAGTGGTGCAATCTCCACTCACTGTAACCTCTGCCTCTCGGGTTCAAGAGAGAACCTGCCTCAGCCTCCTGACTAACTGGGATTACAGGTGCCCGCCACCATGCCTAGCTAATTTTTTTTGTATTTTTAGTAGAGATGGGGTTTCACCATTTTGGCCAGGCTGGCCTTGAACTCCTGGCCTCAAGTGATATGCCCGCCTTGGCCTCCCAAAGTGCTGGGATTACAGGCCTGAGCCACTGTGCCCAGCCTAATTTTTGTATTTTTAGTAGTGATGGGGTTTCACCATGTTGGCCAGGCTGGTCTTGAACTCTTGGCCTCAGGTGATCCACCTGCCTTGGCCTCCCAAAGTGCTGGGATTACAGGCGTGAGCCGTGAGCCACCATGCCTGGCTGATTCTAGTTTTTATTTTTTTATTTTATTTTATTTTTTGAGACAAGTTTCGCTCTTCTTGCCCAGGCTAGAGTGCAATGGCGCGATTTCGGCTCACTGCAACCTCCACCTCCTGGGTTCAAGCAATTCTCCTGCCTAAGCTGCCCAAGTAGCTGGGATTACAGGCATGCACCACCATGCCCAGCTAATTCTGTATTTTTAGTAGAGACCGGGTTTCTCCATGTTCGTGAGGCTGGTCTCGAACTCCCGACCTCAAGTGATCCACCAGCCTCGGCCTCCCAAAGTGCTGGTATTACAGGCGTGAGCCACTGCACCCAGCCTCAACGATTCTAGTTTTTAAAGAAATTTTTTGCACAGCAGTAAAACTGTACAGACTAAAATAATGAGCAGATTATTTTGTAACAAAACCTTGTCAGGAAGATGTTTCTTTAGAATTCATTAAAGAAGGCCACAGTAAACCTAACTAATATATAAAATGGCTTGCAAGAATAGAAGAACTGGCAGTAGAAACTATAGAAGCATTTAATCAAAAACATGAAAATAATGGCTGGGCATGGTGGCTTATGTCTGCAATCCCAGCACTTTGGGGAGGATGAGACGGGCAACTTGAGTTCAGGAGTTCGAGACCAGCCTGGCCAACATGGCAAAACCCCGTGTCTACTAAAAATACAAAAATTAGCCAGGTGTGGTGGTGCATGCCTGTACTGTAGTCCCAGCTACTCGAATGGCTGAAGCAAGAGAATCGCTTGAACCCGGGAGGCAGAGGTTGCAGTGAGCCGAGGTTGTACTACAGCACTCCAGCCTGGGCAACAGAGTGAGACTCCGTCTCAAAAACAACAACAACAACAAAAACATGAAAATCAGTGCTGCAGTTTGTTAAAATTATGAAATATATATATCTGATCATAATGATTAAAATTAATAGAATTATAGGTAAATTGAAGCAAATTCATTACAGATGTTAAACTGCAGGATGAGTAGGATTTTGTTTTAATTTTTTTTTATTTGTATCAAAAAATTACATATACTGAAGCTGGGTGCAGTGGCACACACCTATAGTCACAGCTACTCAGGAGGCTGAAGCAGGAGGATTGCTTGAGCCCAGGAATTAGAGTCCAGCCTGGACAACATAGTGAGTCCCCCTCCCAAAAAAGGAAGAAGAAATACATGTACTGTATAAAATTGAAAAAGTCAAATAGTATCGCAAGGCTTATATTGAGAGGCAGTAGTCACTCCTTTTGTTCCAGCTCAACAGATGCAAATCACTTTCAACTAAATTTTTTGTTATTTTCCTCCATATTTCTAAATTATTTTCTTATTTAATAATTTATTTTTATAGTTATAGTCTTATCCTATTGGTGCCCTTCTGTGTAAGGTGATTAGTTGTTTATAACAAATCAATTTCCCCCAATACACTTAGGATAAAACATGAGATTTTGTTCTCTCTACCCTTCTCTTCACCAATGTAAGAAATGCTTTCCATTCCAAAATGCCTGTTTGCTACTATCTGTTTAGGAACTTACATATTTGTCGGATAGCATTCTCCGATATGGTTGGGAGTATAGGGTGGGAGCCTGAAATTATCACTGAATAAGCAAATTTTACTTTATTCCCCTGTTTTCAGCTATGACTGCTGTCTCTGACTCTGTCTCTGGTTCAGTGCCTTATGGCTGTAAAACCCAGGCTGTTCTACTCACACTTAGAAATTCCATCTGTGAACTTTTGGAGGGGCCTAACTTCTTAGAAATTAATATATTCTATTTTAGTCCCATCAGCACTTTAGCCTTTAGGGACACCTGGTGCCCTTAGTCTCTGAGTCTTCCAAGATTCTGTGACTAGAGTGCGCTTCCTGCTTATTGGGGTCTGCCTCATTGCATACTGTTAGATTTCAGTGTTCTTGGCAACGTAAGTTACTACTTAACCACCTGTTCTTGTATCTTTTGAAATCTTCATGATTTTTATTTGCTGTCATCTCTCATTTCTTCATGTATTATTCTTTTCTTCTTTTTTTTTGAGACAGGGTCTGGCTGTGTCACCCAGGCTGGAGTGTAATGGCGCAATGATGGCTCACTGCAGGCTCAAACTCCTGGGCTCAAGTCATCCTCCCGCCTCAGCCTCTTGAGTAGCTGGGACTACAGGCGTGCACTACCATGCCTGGCTATGTGTTTTGTTTGTTTGTTTGTTTGTTTTTTTAGTAGAGATGAGGTCTCACTATGTGCCGAGGCTGATCTTGAACTCTTGAGCACAAGTGATTCTCCCATCTCTGTTGGGAATATAGGTGTGAGTCACTGCTCCCGGCCTCTTCACATATTCTTGATCTGTGTGGATTTATTCTTTTTTTTTTTTAATACGGAGTTTCACTCTTGTTGCCCAGGCTGGAGTACAGTGGTGCGATCTCGGCTCACTGCAACCACCGCCTCCTGGGTTCAAGCGATTCTCCTGCCTCACCCTCCTGAGTAGTTGGGATTACAGGCACCCACCACCACACCCAGCTAATTTTTTGTATTTTTAGTAGAGACAGGGTTTCACTGTGTTGGCCAGGGAGGTCTCGAACCCCTGACCTCAGGCAATCCACCCGCCTTGGCCTCCCAAAGTGCTGGGATTATAGGCGTGAGCCACCGCGCACCACACCCGGCCTATTTTTTCTTTTATAACTTTTTTTTTTTTTTTTTGAGATGGAGTCTCGCTCTGTTGCCCAGGCTGGAGTGCAGTAGAACAATCTTGGCTCACAGCAACCTCTGCCTCCCAGGTTCAAGCGATTCTCCTGCCTCAGCATCCTGAGTAGCGGGGATTACAGGTGCGCGCCACCATGCCTGGCTAATTTTTTTGTGTATTTTTAGTAGAGATGGGGTTTCAGCATGTTGGCCCAGCTGGTCTTGAACTCCTGGCCTGAAGTGATGTGCCCACCTTGGACTTCCAAAGTGCTAGGATTACAGGCCTGAGCCACTGCACCCAGCCTCTTCTTTTTTTATTCCTTACTGGCATCTTAATAGGATTTTAGAAGTGAGAGGAAATAAGCGTGTATTTAATAAATACATAACTAGAACTGGTATGTGGGTTTTATTTTTAAATTTTTATCCAAATTTAAAGGATGAAAAACATTTTAAGGCAAGATGTAACCATTCGGAGAAAACTGGATGAATGGTACATGGGATCTCATTTCTCATAGCTGAGTATGAATCTATAATTATAAGTTCAATTAAGAAAAATGTAGGGTCACTGACATAAGGTAAACAGTATCTTTCCATGTATAACCTTTCCTTTCAGAATTTATCAGCATAATTACAGATTAATTTTTTTTTAATTTTTTGGTAATCTGCTCTTTTCTATAGTCTTCCTAATGTTTTCATTGCTGTAATATATATTATGTTAATATGCTGTAAGTTATGGAACATTTTCAGAAGTATAAAAATCTTTCACTGCCTGTAGTACGTGGTATTGACAAATACTTTTGGCCAGTAATGAATGAGTGTGCCAGTTTCATTGGAGCTTCACCAGTGTTGTGTGCTGTCACAAATTTTTTTTGTTTTAGCTATTTTGGTAGATAGAAAATGGTTTATGAAAGGAATTTTAGTTTTTTTTTTCTTGATGTCTTTTTCTAGACCATTCAATTTCTGTTAATTATGGCCTACTGAAGACTAGTTGTGTTTTGAGACCTTTGCTCCTTTTTTCCCCACTTTGCAGTTTATTAATCAGTTACTTGGAGTTGTTCCTTTGTCGACACCAACAGAGGATAAGCTGGCACTGCCTGCTGACATCAGAGCTCTGCAGCAACATTTGTGTGTGGTGCAGCTGACGAGGTTACTTGGCTTGTACCACACCATGGATAAAAATCAGAAATTGAGTGTGGTCAGAGAATTGATGTTAAGGTACCAGCATGGACTGGAATTTGGTGAGCAACCATTCAAAATGTGCAGTAGTTCCCTGATCTACACTAAGACTTAGAAGGCAGTTTTTTAAGCACCTGTAGCACCCTGTTTTAATGAGTTTTGTAAGGAGACTATTTTGTCTGGGAAGACCATCTAAGTAATATGATGTAAAGCCTTTCTTAAGCCTGGAGTTTTAAATAATTCTGATTGGCTTTCAGTTGTCTGTATTCTTCTTGATCTGATGAGCTAACTTTTTATTAGATTGGGGCTCATATAGATTGCATAGTTTATGATAATTATCACATTTTCTGCTTGTAGGCCTAAATATTCTTAATATATAGACTGTAAGTGAACAAAAAGAATATTGTAAATTGTAAGATAAATATTTAGTTTAGAAATAGATGATCTTCAGATAGGTGTGGCCTTTGCTAGATATATGTGATAGACATATAATTGTCTGACTATAAGATGTCAGTATTTATCTGTAGTCTAAAGAATTAGATGAAGTCAGGAGCATATTGTGAATTTAGTTATACATGGCACTTGGCTTATGTTCTTTTCTTCACCTCAACCTCCTTCAAATCTTCCTTCTCTCCCTTTGGGACCATCATGGATACCACCTCTGCTCTGGAACCCTACCTTCTGTTCCAGCTGAGTGTGGTCTCACCTTCTTTTGAACCCTTTGAATCGTGGCTTATATTTTTCTCCTGGTACTTATCTTATTCTTAATTTTCTTTTACTTTTCCTCCTCTCCCTCCTGTCACTTTCCTGCTTTTAAAAACTCCTTTGGGGTCAGTAATAGTTGAACAAATGTTAAAATAGATATGATTTTTTTCCCCCATAGGGAAAACCTGTTTGAAAACAGAATTGCAATTTTCTGACTATTACTGTCTCCTTGCTGTCCATGCGCTTATTGATGTATGGAGGGAAACAGGTAAGTAGCAGTGATTTCAGTTCAACTTTACTTTTTGCTTTTATTGATTATAAGTACTGCATTCTTTCATTAGACTAATTTTACAATCCACAAATTTTATTTATGCTTTTAGGTTCTGCTTTTCTTGATATTTCTAGGGTGCTTCCAGAAAAACCTGTCTTGGCCAGGTGCGATGGCTCATGCCTGTAATCCTAGCACTTTGGGAGGCTGAGGCGGGTGGATCACCTGAGGTCAGGAGTTCGAGATTAGCCTGGCCAAAATGCAAAAAACTTCGTCTCTACTAAAAATATAAAAATTAGCTGGGCATTTGGGCGCATGCCTGTAGTCCCAGCTACTTGGGAGGCTGAGGCAGGAGAATTGCTTGAGCTTGGGAGGCGGAGGTTGCAGTGAGCTGTGATCATGCCACTGCACTTCAGCCTGGGCAACAGAGCAAGACTCCGTCTCAAAAAAAAAAAAAAACCTGTCTCCAGTTTATCCCCTTGTAACCAGGATAATGTTAAATGAATGGATATCTGTTCTGTTTTTAAGTGTTTGTGAATAATAAGTAATGACTATAAAAAAATACTATGACAAAGCTACAAAAATTAAAATACAATGAAACTGACTAAAAAATACATGCACAGGCCTATGGAACAGAATATCTTTTATTCACTTCAAAAAATTTTATATACAGAAAAATGCATTCTTTCTGGAATATAGTTTGTCTCATTTAAGATAAAAATATAAGACATGGTAAAGGAAGCATCATGAGTGATTGAGGAAGAGAAGGATGATTCAGCAAATGGTACTGGGATTGCCTTTTCTTTAGGTCCCACCCCCTGACATTTTCTCTTATTAGCAGTTTTGGAGAATAAATAACTTTAGGTGCTTATGGCATATTATTCATGAGAATTGAACTATAGAAGAAACAAAGGGCTGAAGAGACAGTGGTAAGCAAGATAAACACAACCCCTGCCCTCATGGATCATTTCACAGAGCACTCAGTTTTGTTTTTTTTGAGATGGAGTCTTGTTCTTGTTGCCCAGGCTCGAGTGCAGTGGCGTGATCTCAGCTCACTGCAACCTCCGCCTCCTGGGTTCAAGCGATTCTCATGCCTTAGCCTCAGAGTAGATGGGTTTACAGGCACATGCCACCAAGCCCAGCTAGTTTTTTTTTTTTTTTTTTTTTTTTTTTTTTTTTTTTTTTTTTTTTTTTGTGAGATGGAGTCTCGCTCTGTCGCCCAGACTGGAGTACAGTGGTGCAATCTCAGCTCACTGCAATATCCTCCTCCCAGGTTCACGCCATTCTCCTGCCTCAGCCTCCCGAGTAGCTGGGACTACGAGTAGCTGGGACTACAGGTGCCCGCCACCATGCCTGGCTAATTTTTTGTATTTTTAGTAGAGATGGGGTTTCACTGTGTTAGCCAGGATGGTCTCGATTACCTGACCTCGTTATCTGCCCGCCTCGGCCTCCCAAAGTGCTAGGATTACAGGTGTGAGCCACTGCGCCTGACCAGTTTTTGTGTTTTTAGTAGAGACAAGGTTTTGCCTTGTTGGCCAGGCTGGTCTCGAACTCCTGACCTCAGGTGATCCACCCGCCGCGGCCTCCCAAAGTGCTGGGATTCAGGCGTGAGCCACTGCACCCAGCCTTATCATGCCATTCTTAAAATCCTTCAGACCTCAGGAAGCCAAGGCTTGAGCCCAGTAGTTCAAGGCTGCAGTGAGCTATGATCACACCATTACACTCCAGCCTGGGTGACAGAGCAGGACCCTGTCTCTAAAAAATTTAAAAAGAAAAAAAATCCTTCAGAGGTACCCTGTTTTCCTGAGGATAAAAGTCAAGTGTTTTGGGATAGTTTATAATGCTGTTTATAATCTGGCCTGTGCCCACATCTCCAGATTCTTAGGTATTTATGGTCTTGAATCTACTTTAAAATTTTTTTGCTACTATCACTTAACATCATGTTGCCTCTCTTTGAAATAACTTTCTTACCTCCCTCATCTAAGTTTTACTCAAATGGTGCCTTTAACAAAGCCTGTCTTGATTTTAACTCCTTCCCCACTGGGGATTTTATGCTCCTCTGAACTTCTGTAGGACATTGTATGTAACCATATGGTAGTGTTTTTTTTTTTTTAGTTTGTTTTGGGATGGAGTCTCGCTCTATTGCCCAGGCTGGAGTGTAATGGCACAATCGTGGCTCACTGCAACATCCTCCTTCCAGGTTCAAGCGATTCTCCTGTCTCAGCTGCCCGAGTAGCTGTGATTACAGGCACGTGCCACTATGCCTAGCTAACTTTTGTGGGTTTTTTTTGAGACAAAGTCTCGCTCTGTCGCCAGACTGGAGTGCAATGGCACAATCTTGGCTCACTGCAACCTCTGCCTCCCAGGTTCAAGTGATTCTCCTGCCTCAGCCTCCCAGGTAGCTGGGACTACAGGCGCCCACCACCACACCTGGCTAATTTTTTGTATTTTTAGGAGAGACAGGGTTTCACCATGTTGGCCAGGATCTCTTGACCTCGTGATCCACCCACCTCGGCCTCCCAAAGTGCTGGGATTATAGGCGTGAGCCACTGCGCCCGGCCTAATTTTTGTATTTTTAGTAGGGATGGGGTTTCACCATGTTAGTCAGGCTGGTCTCAAACTCCTGACCTCAGGTGATCTGTCTGCCTTGGCCTCCCAAAATGCTGGGATTACAGGCATGAGCTACTGCACCTGGCCAGTAATACTTCTGACACTATATTGTACCAGGGATGAGAGTGAAATCCTTGTCATCAGAGAACTTGTTATTTGAGCCCCTAGATTCATGAGGCTGCATAGGGTAGCAAAAGTCATTTTAACATGAAAACATTAATGAACTGATCATGTAGTAATTTGATCCCCACACAGATAGGCTTTCTTACTGATGCCTAACATCCGTTCTCACCAATAGTGACTATGGCTTTGCTAGTCTCTTATATTAATATTTTGAGCAATATATGTGGCCATATGATAATAGTAACAACTGACAGTTGATTATTAGGCATGTGAAAGTACTTTACACAAATTAAACTATTTTATTTTATTTTATTTTATGTTATTTTATTTTATCTTATTTTACTTTTTTGAGATGGAGTCTCGCTCTGTTGCCAGGGCTGGAGTGCATTGGTGCGATCTTGGCTCACTGCAACCTCTGCGTCCCAAGTTCAAGCGATTCTCCTGCCTCAGCCTCCTGACTAGCTGGGATTACAGGCGCGCACCACCACGCCTGGCTAATTTTTGTATTTTTAGTAGAGACGGGGTTTTACCATGTTGGTCAGGTTGGTCTTGAACTCCTGACCTCGTGATCCGCCCGCCTCAGCCTCCCAAAGTGCTGGGATTTCAGGCGTGAGCCACCACACCCAGCCGATTTAAACATTTTAATAATACAGTTATTGTCACAGTTTTATAGGTGAGAGAAATGGAGGGCAGAGAGAAAAAAGGTAAATTGTCCAAAATCCTGCAGTGCAGACAAATACATGGGAATCATTTGCAAAATGAAATTGTAGATCTTGTGAAGATGCAGGGCTTCTTGAAGTCAGTGATAGGGATGTTGAAGTACTCCAGTCACAGTCATAATCATTGTTCAAGGTGCACCTGGCAGAACTTAGAAATCAATAGAAAGTTGATGAGGGCATTTAAAGAGATTGATTTAAATTCAAAAGGATTGAGTGTTTTAGGAAGTTGGTGCTCTCAAATATTTTTTCTGAAAGGCTATTTTTTTATTTTGAGACACTGTCATCCAGGCTAGAGTGCAGTGGCACCATAGTAGCTCTCTGTAGCCTCAACCTCCTGGGCTCAAGGGATCCTCCCACTTCAGCCTCCTGGGTAACTGGGAGTATAGGCACATGCCACCATGCCTGGCTAGTTTTTGTATTATTTATTTAGTTAATTTTAAATTTTTTTAAATTTTTTATTTATTATTAAATTTTATTTTTATTTTGAGATGGAATCTTAACTCCGTCCCAGGCTGGAGTGCAGTGGTGCAATCTCGGCTTACTGCAACCTCTGTCTCCTGGGTTCAAGCAATTCTTCTGCCTCAGCCTCCTGAGTAGCTGGAATTATAGGCACCCGCCACCACGCCCGGCTAATTTTTGTATTTTTAGTAGAGAAGAGGTTTTACCATGTTGGCCAGGCTGGTCTCGAATTCCTGACCTGAGGTGATCCGCTTCCCTGGCCTCCCAGAGTGCTGGGATTACAGGTGTGAGCCACTGTGCCCAGCCAGTTTTTGTATTTTTTGTATAGTTGGGGTTTTGCCATGTTTCCCAGGCTGGTCTCAAAGTCCTGGGCTCAAGCCATCTCCCTGCCTTGTCCTCCCAAACTGCTGGGATTACAGGCATGAGCTACTATGCCCGGCCTATCTTTCTTTTCTTCTGGAAAACAGCATATAGAATATTACCTTAAAATCTTACTGCATGGTGCTTTCATTTTTGCTGTTGTTACTGACTGTAAAAGTAGCTTGTATAAATTTTGGAAAGTAGTTTACTTAAAATCTCACTTTTTTGGACCTCAAAAGCACTCTTATCACTTTTGCATTTTTTTTTCTTTTTTTTTTTCCTTTTCTATTCTTGAGACAAAGTTGCACTCTGCTGCCAAGGTTGGAGTGCAGTGGCATGATCACAGCTCACTGCAGCCTCAACCTCCTAGGCTGAAGCAATCCTCCCAACCTCAGCCCTCCTGAGTAGCTGGAACCATAGGCAGTGTGCACCACCACATCTGGTTAATTTTTTCAAAAATGTTTTTAGTAGAGACGAGGTCTAGCTATGTTGTTCAGGCTGGTCTCAAACTTGTGGGCTCAAGTGATCCTCCCACCTCAGCTTCCCAAAGTGCTGGGAGTATAGGCATGAGCCACCATGTCCAGCTAACATTTTTGTTTGTTTTCTTCTTCTCTCTCTCTTTGTGCATATTTTAAGAGTTGAGATCAACTCTTTGTACTAACTTGAATTTTCTGTGTGTGTGTTTTACTGAACATTATTGCACATTTTCCTTTGTAATTAAAAACTCTTCATTAACGTCAAGTAGTTATATGACATTTCCATGTGTCGAAGTTACCATAATTTACCTACTCATCCTCCCATCATTACATCACTAGATAGTACGATAACTATTTTTGTATATAAAGCTTTATCTGTATTTCATAGTATTTTCTTTAGATGGATCCTAAAGAATAAGTAACTTAATCTTGAAGACTAGAGATACATGTACCTTTTGAAATTTCATAGACCCAAAAAAAGTATCATTTTAGTTTGATTATTGAGTAAATATTTTCAAACATCCTATTTGCCATTCTGTTAGTAGAGTTACATATGGAAGAAAAATGATGTCTATAGATAACATCTGTCTGGGGTTTTATAGAGGAAATCCTGCAGGGGCAAGGTGCTGAGCTCCAGTTTTCCTTCAAAGTCCATCTCTTCCCAGAATCTGAGATTCTGTGAGATTCTATAACATCCCCCCACAAGACCTGGCCACTTAAAATCTGCATCGTTTTTGCTGTGGGCATGTTTAAGAATAGACTTAACTATTGAAGGACTCTCTGTTGAGGCGAAATTCTCTATTTTGGTTACAGGTGTATATCTAAAATTTGTTCTCTGTCATTTAACTTCATTTATTGGGGGGGGTGATGATGTCAATAAGGTTTTGTTTTTTGTTTTTGGGAAGCTTTCATTTGCTGTCAAGATCAGTGGATAATGCTGTATTTTGGTTCTAGGTGATGAGACCACTGTGTGGCAGGCCCTGACTTTGCTGGAAGAGGGATTAACCCATAGCCCTTCCAATGCTCAGTTCAAATTGCTGCTTGTTCGAATCTACTGTATGCTGGGTGCATTTGAACCAGTGGTGGATCTTTACTCCAGCCTCGATGCTAAGCATATCCAGCATGATACCATTGGGTTGGTAGTATATACTCTGAATAATGAGCAGCCAGCTATACCAGTGTGGGGTACACAGGACTCTAACTTAGATTTTAAAGTTGATTGTGACATTAAGCCTTTCTGATTAAATAATAACCTGTTATGATCCATTGCAAACCAGAAAGATTTTTATATCTCCCAGCATTTTGTGGTAATTTGAAAATTTGCACAATTTAGAAATGTAAGAGAGTTTTCCCCAGAGATAGCAAACACCTATATACTTTGAACCCTTATTCTTAGCACACATTATTTTGAAGTGTTCATTTCCGCTTTGCAGTTGAAGTTGACACATGTAATTTATTTATTGACCTCAACAAAGTTTGAATTTGTATTTTGAACTTGTATTTAGACTACTCTTTATTATTATGCTAGTATCACTTAATGGCATTTTCTCTGTTTGTGGTGCTGTTTTAGGAAGACAGCATTATGTTCTGTTAGAACTTTTATGTGTCATTAATCATCAGAGTGTAAGAAAGCCTAGTTACAGAACTTTAGGTCTCCCACAAAACTGAGTTAACTTTTGGCTTTTTTTTTTTTTTTTTTTTAAATTTTAACTGGTGAATTAGATCATTTCTGTGGGAGTATGTTTTAGTGTTTTCTTATGCCTAGCTATTTTTTTGCCAAGTAATTTGAAGCGTAATATTTGTTACTTGAGCTAGGTAAGTAAGTATAACATGTCTTTTTTTTTCCTTCTTTCCTTCTGATCTAGTTATCTTTTGACCCGATATGCTGAATCTCTAGGTCAGTATGCTGCTGCGTCCCAATCCTGTAACTTCGCACTCAGGTTTTTTCACTCCAACCAGAAAGATGTAAGTGAAAAACTATTTTTTAACTGTGATCTTGTCTGCTGACTGCACACTATTGAGGAGCACGTCACCACATGTCACAAGTACACATGTTAAGGTGCACCATGCTGAACTAGCAAGTGCCCTTAGACCAAAGCTTACTGTCCAAGGCTGGTAGGGAGAGGTAGAGAGTTATTTGTGTTTGTTAGAATGGGCGTGTTTAATAGAATCCTTGGAAAGTTGCATTTAAAAACTGGTATTTACTGACTAGGAAGTGTTAGTCCTCTTAGACCTGGCTTTTAATCTCTAAGAGACTTTTCCAAGGGTATAAGAAACAGTCCATAAGCGTTCATAGCCTGGGATGCCGTGTAACATCCTGCAATAGCAGCTGCTCTCTGTTACTTTTATTTAACTCTGAAATGTATGTCCATTGTGCTCTTTGCCAAAGGTGAATGTACTTGTATTTTCTTAGAAAATTAAAAGGCATTCCGAGAAACCTAGGTGAATAATATGTTTTTTAAAGTAGCAATAAATAGAGCTTCTCTGTGCCATAATGAAAGGATGGGATTTGCACCATATTTTTCACTGCAAGCAGACTTGGGCTCTACTTGTTGGTTAAGCCGAGGTTTTTGTAGGAAAACCATACGGTCTGTACTCAGTTGACCAATTATAAAAAACTGCCCAACAATGAATGTGAAGAAAAGGAATGTCTCCAGGGTGGTCACTGCCTACTTGGTTTTCACAGACTTCTAAGCCTCATCGCCTGAAGTTGGCTGTGCCAGCTATCTGCCCATAGCTTTCCATTCTCATGGTCTACCAGCAATTAAGGAACTAGCAAGGAAGCTAGTTTCTGGGGTTCTTCTTGGCAAACACTCGTGAGGATTTTTTTTAAACCCTTTTGTTTTACTGTAACAGGATGACTAATCTATCTTCCATCTAATTCTTTAAGGGTGTATTGTATTAAATAGAAGCATTTCTGAACATGGGATATAGGTTTGTTCTCAGTTTATGATAATTACATTCTGACAAGTTTTAGGGAATGGCCTAGAGGGCTGGAGTAGCAAAGGACAGCTCTAAGCAGGTGGAAAGCAGCCTCTTGTGCTTAGATAATGAGCTGTGTACCATTAGTTGGTTCTTAGTCCTGTATCCCCTCCCCAAAGTGGCCCCCTTAACCTCTGCAGTGATTGGTATCTCCGTTCAGACCTCATTTTGTGGCACAGCATCTGATCAGGGAGAGAGGAAAATGAGTATCAGCATCTGAGCATGTTACTCAGAAGGTGTGCTGGCCTGGCTTAGAGGTCAGAAGGTCATCTCTAGGATGTTGGGTTTCTAAAACCTAGCATGGATGAGCTATAAACCTATGAATTTTCATTGTGTGTTCAAGTATCTGTACTTGCCCTCCTGTTTTCAAGAGGTTTCACTAACTCAAAAAAAAAATCAAAAGGATTGGTTTCCTCATCTCATTATTTATGGCCTCATTTCTGTATTTATAAGAGAGATGAAAGAAACATTTGATTTACTGAAGATTCCTTTTCAAAGGTTTGTTTCTCAAATAGCTTTGAGGTAGTGGGAGTAAATCAGGGATTAATTCCAGCCCGGTGGCTGGTTTTCCTCTAGCTTTCAATCATGCAGCATTCTAGAAGAACTGTATTACTCATGAAGATGTGGTCAATAAAGACACATTACTTTATATACATCAGAATTAGGCTTTAATTTTTTCCCACAAATATTGTGTCTGAAGAGTTGTTTTGAAAGAAAATCTAAAAATAAAATTACAAAAGTGTTGCAATATAGGCAAAGGAGACCCCTAGGAGCAATTTGAGGGGATGTGTCATCCTCAGAGTTTTTTTTGTATCTTTGTTTTATGTTTTGCTGATGGTTGTGTGTGGCAAAAGTGACTAATTCATCTGAATGTATGTGATGTTGAACCTGATAAAATTATAGCATTTTATTGATCAGAGACTAGGACACTTGAAATATATTTTGATTACCGCTAAGAAGATAGAGCTTATTAAATCTGCTGACAGGAGATAATCTTGAAGAGTCCTAGAGGCAAAAGAAAAATACAGTACAGGCTGGGCACAGTGGCTCACGCTTGTAATCCAAGCACTGGGAGGCCGAGGTGGGTGGATCACCTGAGGTCAGGAGTTCAAGACCAGCCTGGCCAACGTGGTGAAACCCCATCTCTACTAAAAATACAAAAATTAGCCAGGCATGGTGGTAGGTGCCTGTAATCCCAGCTACTCGGCAGGCTGAGGCAGGAGAATTGCTTGACCCGGGAGGTGGAGGTTGCAGTGAGCTGATTGTACCATTATACTCCAGCCTGGGTGACGAGAGAGACTCTGTCCCCCCACCAAAAAAGAAAAATATGGTACAGCTAGGAACATGTAGCTTGACCTTAATGTTGAGTGCCAGATAGAGACTGTGGTGTGAACTGTTTCCTAAAGAAATCTAAGGCTAAGAAAGATTATGATTGTAGTGTCTTACTGTGTGTGTTCAACCTTGTGCTTAGAGTATCAGAAATATCTCTCTTCAAATCCAGAGCTCTATACTATGCATCTTTTATTCTTGGTAGTTTTTGGGATCCCCGGATGCTTTTTCCTTGGGTGACTGATGCATTTCAATTCCCACCTAGCTCTTTGACAGGACACTTTTACTTAAATGGAAAATCTAGTGTTTTGCTTAGTAATGTTTTGTGCTATGGGATTGAAAGTTGTATTTGGAAGGTCTGCATAGGGATTTTCTTTCTAGAAAGGTTATTTTCTGTTGTCATCTTACTTTGGAATAGATTTTTAAAAATATGAAAATAAGCACTAGATTTTCATATCTTTAAAAGTCACTTACGTGTTTTTACTTCTTAAAAATTTCCCTTTAAAATCTCTATTTTATACAAAAATTATCTGGGTGTGTTGGCGAGCGCCTGTAATTCCAGCTACTTGGGAGGCTGAGTCAGGAGACTTGCTTGAATCTGGGAGGTGGAGGTTGCAGTGAGCTGAGATCATACCACTGCACTCCAGCTGTCACTCTTGGATGACAGAGTGAGACTCTGTCTCAAAAAAAAAAAAAAGTAAATAAAAGAAAATATAATCTCTAGGTATTCACAAAGGTCATTATTCAGGGGTTTTATGTCCATATATTTCACTAATTTTTACAGTGACCAGGGTTCATTTCAGGAATCCATTCGGGATCTAAATAGCCTCATTGGTGCATAAATGAGTAGAAAATAGGTACGGACAACATACTTTGATATTCAAAAGTCTTTAAAGTGCCTGTGGCTTTCAGTTTTGCCTGCAGTTCCAGTAGGGGGTTGTTTCTTCACGTAGTACTACTTCCACAGCCTTGGTCCTAGTGGTTGCATCCCAGGCCCTTGTCTAGCTCTGCAGTGGTACTTTACTGCAGTGTTACAGAAGGACTATCTAAAAAAGATAAGCCAGAGAACTGTGACTACCTTCTTAGTTTGTTAAAGACTATACTCTCTTTGTTGCCCCTTATTTTTCTCTTTGAAAAGCTATTGCCTTTTTTTTTTTTTTTTTTAAATAAAGTGGTGTTCCACGGACCACTTAGAAATTAAAACTGCCTCTACACTTGGTAAGGCTGGGTTCCCTCCTTAAATCATAGCATACTTTGGAACTGTAATTATAACTTTGATTGGAATTACTAAAGTCATATTTTCTTTTTGATTAATTACTGAATCATGTGTTCCTAACCAGCTGTTTTTTTTTCCCCAGCTGTAAGTTCCTATTACAAGGGCTAATAGTAGTAAACCTTGCTGTGTTTTCTAAGCCAAGGGGCCATAGGATAGGCATATGTGTTTAGAGTATCCTGGCCTCCTCTTGATAGGGTGTATCACTGTCCTTTAATCAAGCTAGAAGGTATACTCGAGCTTTTTCAGGTAGTCCTTCTTGAAACCTGCAGGATCACAAGTAATCTTTTTAATTTTCTTGTGTCCGTCCGTCTTTAATTTCTCCAGATACTGCAGGCAAACAGCTCGCCGAGGTGTCCCATGGGGGTTTAAAAGCCGCATCGAATGCAGTTGAATTAGCGCCCGTGGCGCAATCCCGCGGCCTGAAATGAACCCTGCAAGGCTGTATATCAGAGGGTATGTTGTTGACTATTGGCCTATTTTCCTACTGGGCAAATTATTCAGACGTAATGGAGATGGGGGCAGAGCTGATTAACTGAGGCTGTGTAAAAAGACTGTTTTTTCTAGAAAGGATCTTTTTTGGGGGCAGACATCAGCTTTGAGCATAATAGTTTCCTTGGCCCAAAGGGGTAATCTCCTGTCTTCTGATCCTGATGGCATAGACCCACACCCATGAAATGTTCTTCCCTGAGATTTTCTTCTATTGTGCCAGAATTTCTGCTTAGAATTCTTTATCTTGCCTCTGTTCTGTAATGTTTGATCTCTGTATATGTATTAAGCTACAATTAAAGCACATGTGGTGAATGTTCCCTTCACATACTTGTTTAAGGAAATTTCCAGCAGAGGTCTTACGTAATGTAGATGGACAAGAAACTTGGTTCTTGAAGTCTTTGTCCTCAGAATAGATTATGACATGAATTTTGATAGGTCTTTTGTTTGGTGTCTTACTTCTATCCTGACGTAATGCTCATATGCCCTGTGTTTCTAATACAGTATTCAGAAATAAGCAAAACCAAGGAGCAGCCTGTCTTTTTCTGAAGGAGAGTGGTTTTTATTTGGGGGGGCGGGGGGCAGGTGGTTCTATTATTCTGGTGCTTTTGGAACCTTTGTATGAAACACAGTTTATCTTAGATGCAGAAAAACATGGAGTAACATCCCTTCCAGAATGGCACTAACCAAATTTTTGACTGATGTGGCAAAACAAAACCTCAGTTCCTATTGAATTGAAAGACATGACTGCCAAGAGAAGGCTTATGTGATGGTGGCAGAAGCTGGTTATTACAATTAGTAATATTAGTAAAGGAGACATTTGTCTAAAGTATAAGAAGGAAGAAAAACATTTTAAAAAGCTAATATTCTACTTGGTGACCAAGACCTTTAAAGATTAGATTTAAAACTTAATTTTAGTTTGAGTGTTTTGTTTTGGCTGGCAAGGTTTGCTTACATTGCCTGACTTGTGAACTATTTATACCAAGGTGATGTCTTTCCTTCTCAGACCTCAGAATATATTATTCAAGCTTACAAATATGGTGCATTTGAGAAGATCCCAGAGTTTATCGCTTTTAGGAACAGGCTGAATAATTCTCTTCATTTTGCACAAGTCCGTACTGAACGGATGCTGTTAGACCTTCTACTTGAAGCAAATATGTAAGTATTGCATGAGAGCTATAAAGGAACTAAGGGATTAGATCAGTTGTTAAGAGCCATTAATGGGCTCATGGGTGTTATTGGCAGGCTTAAGGTAAAATAGGGGGAAAAAAGGGAGAGAGACAGTGGGGAAACAGAACTTGGCACATGTCATGGGGAATGGTAGAGTACTGCCAGCAACATCTTGAGACCATTACAGAAGCCATTTAGGTCATGGTCATCAATGCCTGGTCCATATTGTGCTTACGAAGGTTCCGCCTCCCCTACAAATCAAGAGATTTCAGGAATTAATGCTGATCCCCTTTGTTTTGTGTGGGCTTCCAGAAGCCTTTTTCTTGCCATGTAGCAAGCCAGTTTGATCTGCGCTTGGTTCTATTTCACCTTATTATGAGCCCTTCCTTCCTCTTTCCCTTCCTGTCTAGTAAAACAGGAAGTCCTGATTAATAATATTTTCTGGCTATTTTACTATTAAAATAATATGTGGATTTTTCTCTATCACAGATCAACCAGTTTAGCAGAAAGTATAAAGTCAATGAACCTTAGGCCAGAAGAAGATGACATTCCATGGGAAGATTTGCGAGACAACAGAGACTTAAATGTTTTTTTCAGCTGGGATCCAAAAGACAGGTAACTGGAATTTAACCCCAAGCAATTTTTAAAGTTTTTGTTTGTTTTTTGTTTTTTTAAAGAGACCAAGATCATAGCTCACTGCAGCTTCGAACTCCTGGGTGAAGCAGTTTATTTTTAAAGAATTAGGTTGGGCTGGGCACGGTGGCTCAGGCCTGTAATTGCAGCACTTTGGGAGGCCGAGGCCGGTGGATCACTTGAGGTCTGGAGTTCGAGACCATCCTGGCCAACATGGTGAAACCCTATCTCTACTAAAAATACAAAAATTACCTGGGCGTGGTGGCGTGTGCCTGTAATCCCAGCTATTCGGGAAGCTGAGGCAGGAGAATTGTTTGAACCCAGGGAGCGGAGGTTGCAGTGAGCTGAGATCGCACCATTACACTCCAGCCTGGGCAACAAGAGCAAAACTCCATCTCCAAAAAAAAAAAAAAAAAAGAATTAGGATGAATCTAAAATTAAAAAAAACAAACTTCACTTTACACAAATATAAAATAACATGTGTTTGTTGTAGGGATCAGAAAATATAGGTAAGCCAAATGAAGAAAGTATAGCTCACCCCTATGCTGGGACTGCTGGTTAATCTAAAAGTTAGATCTACTTCACAGCATATATGAGAATTCCAGATCGATTAAAGACTGTATGCTAAATTCTAGATTCCTTAGAAATTCTAGAAGAAAATATAGAAAATATTTTTAAATAGGTGAGGAAAGCCTTTCCTAGTATTATACCAAATCTGGAAACATAAAGGATTTAACTTCTGTAAATAGAAATAATAAATTTGTTAAGTTCTAAAGGTTTGTAGTAAATTTCTTCATACAAGTATCCTTCATATATAGAGAGAACTCTTAATAAGTCAATAAGAAAATAAGAAATTGGGCAAAGAAACACATCTTACAGCAATAAAGATTTTGTTTCTAGCAAAAAAGATGAATACTTGTGGTCAGCAAGGCTGTGTGGTAAATACTTATTATGCATTTACACAGGGATAAATTTTATACAGTCTTCCTATAGGGAGTTGTAGTGATATGTATCAAGATTTAAAATGCCACATACCATTTAATTTGGCAGATCTGCTTCTAGGAAAGTAGAACCTAAGGAAATAAATGCAGAAACATGCTAAGAAGTGTATATGAGGTAGTTCTGAAAATTCTGTGATTTGTGGGTTGCCAAGGCCACATTCAGTGATTTAGGATTGTTGAGTCCCAGAAGGATTCACAGGGCTGAGCATATAGTTGCACTCAACGGCTAAGGTTTATTACAGTGAAAGGACACATGACAGAATCCGGAAGGGAAAAAGGAACAGGCACAGTCGGGAGAACTCAGACTTCCAGTGCTTTCTCCCTCCTCTGAGGGGAAACACTGAGTATGCTCCTTTCTCCAGCAGGGAAAAATGCAGTAACACAGGTGGAATGTTCCTGCTCAGGGAAACCCAGTAGAGACTTGGTGCTTAAGGTTTCATTGTTATGTGGGTACACTCTGTCTATCCTGAGTGGAAAGAAAGCAGGTATTCACCATAAACAACATGGTTTATATAAACAATCTAGGCACAGCGAGTCACTCTTACCATTTTAGGGAACAGTTGGAGTGCAAAGTTCCCAGACATCAGCCAAGGGCCAACCTTGCAAGTAGGCCTTTCTAACGATAATAGCTGCAGGCCTGCTATGTTAACTCTTTTCTACACATACTGTCATAAAAAGATGAAGTTTGCAAAATAATGTAATTACTGTAACCAATTTGTTTAAACTTAAGTTGCATACATACTATTTTTAGTTACTTTTTTTTTTAGATGGAGCCTCTGTTGCATACTGTAACCAATTTGTTTAAAATTGTTAAGTTGTGTAAGTATTATTTTTAGTTACTTTTTATTTTTGAGACCTAGTCTGTCTCTGTCGCCCAGGCTAGAGTGCAGTCGCATGATCTCGGCTCACTGCAACCCCCACCTCCTGGGTTCAAGGGATTCTCCTGCCTCAGCCTCCCAAGTAGCTGGGATTACAGGTCCCTGCCACCACGCCCGGCTAATTTTTGTATTTTTAGTAGAGATGGGGTTTTGCCATGTTGGCCAGGCTGATCTCAAACTCATGACCTCTGTTGATCCCCCCATCTGGGCCACTCAAAGTGCTGTGATTATAGGTGTGAGCTATCGCAACCAGCCCCTATTTTTTTTTTTTTTTTTTTTTTGTGATGGAGTCTCACTCTGTCGTCCAGGCTGGAGTGCGGTGGCGCAATCTCGGCTCACTGCAACCTCCGCCTCCCGGGTTCAAGCAATTCTCCTGCCTTAGCCTCAGCTGGGACTACAGGCGTGTGCCACCACGGCCGGCTAATTTTTTTTGTATTTTTAATAGAGATGGGATTTTACTGTGTTAGCCAGGATGGTCTCGATCTCCTGACCTCATGATCTGCCTGCCTCGGCCTCCCGAAGTGCTGGGATTACAGGCGTTAGCCACTGCACCGGGCCACACCCGCTATTTTTAGTTAGACTTTTATACATCCACATTACAAAAGTCTAAAAAGATCTATACCAAACTTGATAATACTGTGAGTATTGGTTATCAGGGCACCTTTTCTACGTTTTACATTTTTCTATCATTTGCATTTTTTATGTTGTGTATTATTTTTATTAGAGACAGGATCTTACCCAGGCTGGAGTACAGTGGCGTGACCATATCTCACTGCAGCCTTGAACTCCTGGGCTCAAGCAATCCTCCAATCTCAGCCTCCCTAGTAGCTGGGACTACAGGTGTGTGCCACCACGTCCAGCCAATTTTTTGTATTTTTTTTTTTTTTTTTTTAGAGACTGGGTCTTGCTATGTTTACCAGGCTGTTCTCCAACTCCTGGCCTCAAGCAGTCTCTCACCTCAGCTTCCCAAAGTGCTGGGATTACAGGTGTGAGCCACCACACCTGTCCTCATGTATTATTTTTATAATCAGAGAACAAAGTGTCACTTATAAGGAAAATGACCTGTTTTTTTTGTTTTGTTTTGTTTTGTTTTGTTTTGAGATGGAGTCTTGCTCTGTCGCCCAGGCTGGAGTGCAGTGGTGCAATCTTGGCTCACTGCAAGCTCCGCCTCCCTGGTTCATGCCATTCTCCTGTCTCAGCCTCCTGAGTAGCTGGGACTACAGGCGCCCACCACCACGCCCGGCTAATTTTTTGTATTTTTAGTAGAGACGGGGTTTCACCGTATTAGTCAGGATGATCTCGATCTCCTGACCTCGTGATCTGCCCACCTCGGCCTTCCAAAGTGCTGGGATAACAGGTGTGAGGCACCGTGCCCAGCCAAAAATGACCTGTTAAATAGGTTATCATTCCCATTTTATTGATAGTGAAATGGGGTTTGAGAACATTTTGGCTTGTCTTAGGTCATTCAGCTAGTAAATGAAAGCTGGAACCCTTCAAAGGCATCTTAACTGGTGAAAGTTAACTTTAAATGATTTGAGGCCAGGCGCGGTAGCTGACGCCTGTAATCCCAGCATTTTGGGAGGCCAAGGCAGGCAGATCACGAGGTCAGGAGATCAAGACCATCCTGGCTAACACGGTGAAAACCCGTCTCTACTAAAAATACAAAAAAAAAATTAGCCGGGCGTGGTGGCAGGCGCCTGTAGGCCCAGCTACTTGGGAGGCTGAGGCAGGAGAATGGCATGAACCTGGGAGGCAGAGCTTGCAGTGAGCAGAGATAGTGCCACTGCACTCCAGCCTGGGCGACAGATCAAGACTCTGTCTCAAAAAAAAAAAAAAAAATTGAAAGCAATGGATTGAATATTGAATAAGTTAGATAATTTGGGGATGTTTCTGTTTAAGGGACGTTTCTGAAGAACATAAGAAACTTTCCTTAGAGGAGGAGACCTTGTGGTTAAGAATCCGATCCTTAACATTGAGGCTGATAAGTGGACTTCCAAGTCTCAACCACCCTGTGGAGCCAAAGAACTCGGAGAAGACTGCCGAGAATGGGGTATCCTCCCGGATTGATATTCTTCGTTTGCTCCTTCAACAGCTGGAGGCAACCCTGGAGACAGGAAAGCGATTTATTGAGAAGGATATTCAGGTACCATCAATACATATTTACCATCAAAGTTGCAATAATTATATTTATGACTGTTTTATAAACAGGAGTTTGGGGTGGGTGAGTAGTAAGGAATTGTTTTGTCCCAGTTTATGGCTTCTGCAGGAGAAAGAGGAATATTTTAGACTCAGAGGGAATTGCAGAGGCTTCCTCAATATCCAGACTAGTGAGGGAGAAAGCAAAATAACTTTTTGTGGTGTTAAGTTTTTAATAGCTAGCAACAAATTAATATAAATGTTCTGTTTTTACTGTAATGATTCAGTTATTAGTTTGCTGATTAGTGGCTTTTAGCTGAACCGCTGAGACAGGTTTTTATCTACTAGTTACCTGATTTTCTTATTTTGTATGCATTTAGATGGATTTAAAAGAGCATTATTTTTCTCCCTTTTTTCCAGTATCCTTTCCTTGGTCCTGTACCTACCAGAATGGGTGGATTCTTTAATTCTGGCTGTTCTCAGTGCCAGATAAGCTCTTTTTATCTTGTCAATGATATTTATGAGCTGGATACCAGTGGTTTAGGTAAGTGTACACTGTGTGTTTATAGGGTCTTTGTCATAGAAAATGTAGTACACGTAATAAAATGTCTATAACCTCACATCTGGAAAATTTTAGAGTACATGGAAGCTGGAAGCTGTTCTGCAAATGTGTGGTGTAGTGTATGAGAGGGTACAGTCGTAGGTTACAAAGTAATGTTTTAGAAGCTTAAGTCCATTCCATATTTAAAATCACTTGTTAGGTCCAAAAGTTGAAGAAATTCTTCATTTGTTGAAAGGCTGTTGGATTTTAAAAATGAAGCAGTAGGCTGGGCGCAGTGGCTCACGCCTGTAATCCCAGCACTTTGGGTGGCCAAGGCAGGCGGATCACCTGAGGTCAGGAGTTCGAGACCAGCCTGGCCAACATGGCAAAAGCCCGTGTCTACTAAAAATACAGAAATTAGCGAGGCAAGGTGGCGGGCGCCTGTAGTCTTATCTACTCCAGAGGTTGAGGCAGGAGAATCGCTTGAACCAGGGAAGCAGAGGTTGCAGTGAGCCGAGATGGCACCACTGCACTCCAGCCTGGATGATAGAGCGAGACTTTGTCTCAAAAAAAAAAAAAAATAAAAATAAGAAGCACTAAACTTTGTAGAGAAGAGATTTCTTTTGTAAGCTCCTAGTGAAAATCACAAATACTCCATAGACCTTTTCCTTTTATTTATTTATTTTTTAAATCATAAGGTTAGTAGATCCTACCATTCAGAGTGTTTGAAGCACATAGATTTTAAGCTCTCTTAAGGAATTTTAGGTAGTACCTCTGGCAAAAAGGTAATTAGTGCCTTTCTTTTTATTCTTCCTTTTCCTTTCATTATCATTTTCTTTTTGTCTCAAAATAATGAAAAATGCATAAGGGTCTGTAGAGAGAAGAAAATGTCCTTGCCCATGAACTTCTTGCAGGTATTTATCTTGCTTCTTTATCTTACTAAAAATAGAATTGAAAGTTTTTCATTTTTTGTTTTTCAATTTTAGAGGATACAATGGAGATTCAGGAACGAATAGAAAATAGTTTTAAGTCTTTACTAGACCAGTTAAAAGGTAAGTTTTCCTACTGTAGATTCCTGTATTTGTATCTGGTTGTATGGCAATAGCTTCGAAGTTCTTTCCCCTATTCCCAAGCCCAATCACCCAGAGATAAGTAAGTAGTTTTAACACTTTGGAGTCAATACTCCTAGATGCCACCTAAACACATATGTGTGTGAATGAAAATACAGATAAAAAGTAATCTTTAAACATAGGAAATGGTGTAATCCATGCTTTTTTGACTTTAATTTTTTTGTTATTTTGGATACCTTTCCATGTCAGTTATATATACCCCATTTATTTTCAAGACTGCGTAATATTCTATAGTATTGTATTAACATTTTTTATGTTATCGCAATTGGTGACATATTATGTATATGAGTTATTTCTTCTACTGATGCTGAAATGAATATCTTGGGACAAATTGTTAGGGTATTATTTGAGTCCTTCCTTGGGATTAAATTCCCAAGAATTTAATAGAATTATTAAATTGTTAAATTCCCAATAATTTAATAGAATTGTTAAAGGGCACATATATGCATCTTGTATCTATAAGAGTCTTTCTGGCCGGGCATGGTGACTCACGGCCTGTAATCCCAGCACTTTGGGAGGCTGAGGCAGGCAGATCACGAGGTCAGGAGATTGAGACCATCCTGGCTAACACGGTGAAACCCCGTCTCTACTAAAAATACAAAAAAATTAGCCGGGTGTGGTGGCGGGCTCCTGTAGTCCCAGCTACTCGGGAGGCTGAGGCAGGAGAATGGCATGAACCTGGGAGTTGGAGCTTGCAGTGAGCTGAGATAGCGCCACTACACTTCAGCCTGGGCGACAGAGCGAGACTCCATCTCAAAAAAAAAAAAAAGTGTCTTTTTAGGACCCTAAATGATTTTTTTTTTCCCCCCAAGAAATGAGGTCTTGTTGTGTTGCTCAGGATGGACTCTAACTCCTTGGCTGAAGCAATCCTTCTACCTCAGCCTCCTGAGTAGCTGGGACTACTGGCGTGCACCACCAAGCGTGGCTCGGTCTTATATTTTATTGTCCAGGTGAAGAATGTCTGAAAATGATTAAGATTATGATAATAAAATTTATTATCTGTTATGAAGATGCATTTCTACAATGTACTTTTTTGGTCTTTCAGTCCATAATGGCATAAGTCCTCTGAATCATTCACTTAGAGTCTTAGTCTTATTGTGCTGATGGCCTATCTGAAAAGGCTTCGCTGGTGTTTAGACACTAGAATGTATAATTTTTAAGGCTACCTTTTATATTTTGAAGACTATAGAGCAACAGCATGGCTTTTTAAAGAACTTACAATGGATAGTCTATCCTTTGGAGTTTGGTTCATTATGGAAAATGAAAAACAAATAGCTTTCTAAATTAAATTTTTATTTGCTTATTCTTTATTTGTGTGTTGTGTTCCTTAAAATAGCATTGAAACAAAAGCTGAATAAAACTAAAATGTTTTTTGTTTTCAGATGTCTTCAGTAAATGTAAAGGTGACCTCTTAGAAGTTAAAGATGGTAACTTGAAAACACATCCTACTCTTTTAGAAAATCTAGTTTTCTTTGTTGAGGTAAGTTTTTGTTCTCTTCCTAAAAGACATTGTTGTTCTTAATGGTCTACAGGATTCATTTTTCAACAGTGAACAGGTAATAGGCACCTTATACCTGTAACTTAACCCTCCATCCCTGTTTTTGTTAATTGAAAAGCAATTTAAATCATTTTCTAAACCAATTTCTTCCAAGAATTCTAAGATGATTTCATTCATAATACTTAGGTAAAACTTCTTGAAATTTGCTGTACTCATCTCTAAACTTCCCCAGATTCACCTCAAATCTAGCTGTTTTCATTCTCCTTTCTGACTCACTCTTTATTATGTAGTTTAATTCCTCCAGCTTCTTTTATTTGTTGTCATTTATTAATTGCTAAGATATTATGCATTGTGATAGTGTCCAGCAACTGATACAGCAAAACTCCCTCCTCTTTTTTTGCCAGAGGGAAGAGAAGGAAGATTGCAAACACTCATAATCTATTATCTTTTCTTTTATTTCTGTCACATATTTGTTGACTGTTCTCCCCTTACTACTCTGTGTGGGGAGTGTACACTGTTCTGGTGATTGGCAAACTGTAAGTGCCTAAGAGATTTTTATTAAGTGAATGAGTAATAAGCGGACATATATGTACATGCACACACTGTAGTATAGGAGAAGACATATAAACAGCTAATTTGATACAGTGCAGGATATGTACTGATCAACTGGGTAGATTTTGCCATACATATGTAAGTTAAGATTTGCAGGTAAGGTGGTATCTTACCTGCTTGGAGAGATGTGACGGGAGAGGCATATTGTAAAGAACCTTTGGATTCCATGCCTAGGAATTTGGACTCTTCTCTGAGTGAAAAGGATGTTAAATCAGTCCCCACTTCTTCAGGGAAGTGACAGAAAATTGGAGTGAAGTGGAGGATGGATTTTGAGCTAGGAGAGCCAGAAGAAATGCTGAAGAGTTAGGCCATTGTAGTATTCTGAGCAGGAGATGATGAAGGCCTGGATCAGTAGAGTGATTGCAGAAAGTAGAGTGGAGATTCACATGAGAAATTGAAGGGATTTACATAGAAGAACTGCGTTAGAATTTGTTGAATCCATTGCCTCTAATTTCCTGATAGATATTTTTAGTGTAATCCTTATTGGTGAATTTGCAATTTTTCCTTTCAGACTATTTCTGTTATCCTTTGGGTATCCAGTTACTGTGAGAGTGTCCTACGACCATACAAACTAAATTTACAGAAAAAGAAAAAGAAGAAAAAAGAAACCAGCATCATCATGGTAATAACAGTAACACAAGTGATATACAAGGAACAATCTGACCACATGCTACTTTTTCTTTTCACTGTTTTCCTCCATGTTGAGTCCTTAGGATCCTATATGCCAAGCTTCTCCAACCCATGGCCCACGATGACTTTGAATGCGTCGCAAACCCGTAAACTTTCTTAAAACGTTATGAGATTTTTTGAGTTTTTTTTTAAAGCTCATCAGCTATTGTTAGTGTTTTTTTTGTTTTGTTTTGTTTTTGTTTGAGATGGAATCTCACTCTATAGCCCAGGCTGGAGTTCAGTGGCACTATCTTGGCTCACTGCAACCTCTGCCCCCTGGGTTCGAGTGATTCTCCTGCCTCAGCTTCCCGAGTAGCTGGGATTACAGGCGCCTGCCACCACACCCGGCTAATTTTTGTATTTTAGTACAGACGGGATTTCTCCCTGTTGGCCAGGCTGGTCTCAAACTCCTGACCTTAAGTGATCTGCCCACCTCGGCCTCCCAAAGTGCTGAGATTACAGGCGTGAGCCACTGCACCTGGCCAACATTAGTGTATTTTATGTGTGGCCCAAGACAATTCTTCTTCCAGTGTGGCCCAGGGAAGCCAGAAGATTGGACATCCCTGCATATGCGTTGTTTTTCTCCCCTAACTTAAAAAAAATTAAATTATACACCTACAGAAAAATTGAAAGATTAATATGACACCCATAAAGATCTTTACCTGGATTATCAATTTTTAACCATTTATCTCATTTGTTTTATCTCTCATTTGTTGAACCATGTAAAAGGAAAGTACAGACTTGTGACATGTAACACATCAGGATAGAACAAGGACAGGTCTCTGCAAAACCATAATACTCAAGAAAATTTCAAACTCAAGAAATTTAGCATTGATACAATGATATTATCTAATAAAGTCCATATTCAGGCCGGATGTGGTGGCTCACACCTGTAATCCCAGCACTTTGGGAGGCCGAGACGGGCAGATCACTTGAGGTCAGGAGTTCAAGATCAGCCTGACCAACATGGTGAAACCCCATCTCTACTAAAAATACAAAAATTAGTCGGGCATGGTGGTGAGCATCTGTAATCCCAGCTACCTGGGAGACTGAGGTATGAGAATTGCTTGAACCCGAGAGGCAGAGGTTGCAGTGAGCCAAGATAGCACCACTGCACTCCAGTCTGGATGACAGAGCGAGACTCCGTCTCAGGAAAAAAAAATCAGTATTCAAAGTTTTCCACTTATCTCAATTATGTCTTTTATACCTTTTTCAAAATACTAGAATGCCGTCAGGGATCTGACATGACCTTTAGTTGTCATGTGTGTTTACCCTTCTTTAATCTAGAACGCTTCCTTAACCTTTTACTTTGTTTTTATTGTTGAAGACACTAGCTTGCTTTTTGGTAGAATGTCCCACAATCTGGATTTAGCTGATTGCTAAATGTAAGCTGATTGCTTATATTGAAGTTAAATATAGACATGTTGTCCTTTTTAGTGAGTTAAATCAGGAGTCACTAATGTTGTTGTGTCCCATAATTAAATAATGAAATCTGAAATCACCAATAATGGGACACTAATGTGATTAATGTTGTTGTGTCCCATTATTGGTGATTTCAGATTTCATATATGATTAAGGACATATCTACCAGATTTCTTTATAAAGGTGCCTTTTTCCCTCTGTAATAAGTAAGCTATAGGATAATGCTTGAGTCTATGAATATCCTATTTCCCAATGGCCCTTCACCCACTGGTTTTAGCATTCATTGTTAGTTCAGCGCCTGAATTAGTTATTACATTGACGTGTCCCAAATGATGATTTTTAAAAATTCTGTCTTTTATCATTTATCAGCTGCTATTATTTTGTAAAATAAGAGATGTCCCAACCCATTCATACATATTTGAATATATTCCAATTTGAATATATATATATATATATATATATATATATATATATATATATATATGTATTTTTTAAAATATCGCTATCTGAGTATCACCATGGACTCTTTTTTAAAAAGTTCACTTTATTATAAGCCATTATCATAATTTTCATTTGGATGCTCAAATTATGCCAAATTTGGCTAGCTCCTTTAAGCTGGTTTCTGTCCTTTAACATGTCCTCATCAGTTTTAGGGCGCTTTCTGGAACAGCATAAATGCTCCACATACTTGGTATTTTTTCAGTGAACTGAAATCAGACATTTTTTCAAGAGCACTGGTTCCTTTCTGGGGAATGAATTTCAAAACCAAGATCTAGGTGTTAGTGTGCTCATTGCTATTGGGGTTCACTGCTTCTAGTTTATTTCTATGACGAGAACTAGACAGCGTTTTTATGCACACGCGCGTGCACACACACACACACACGCACACACAGTTTTACGTACTTTTTTTTTTTTTTTTGAGATGGAGTCTTGCTCTGTTGCCCAGGCTGGAGTGCAATGGCGCAATCACTACAACCTCCACTTTCCAGTTTCAAGCGATTCTCCTCCCTCGGCCTCCTGAGTAGGTGGGATTACAGGCAGATGCCGCTCTCCCAGTTAGTTTTTGTATTTTTAGTAGAGATGAGGTTTTGCCATGTTGCCCAGGCTGGTCTCTAACTCCTGACCTCAGGTGATCCACCTGCCTCGGCCTCTCAAAGTGCTGGGATTACAGGCATGAGTCACCATGCCTGGCCTACATAAAGAATTTTTAGTGATACTTTCAAGCCAGCATTTTAGTGATACTCTCAGTTTCAAGAGTTCTTTCCACTCTTTCCCTCATTCCCTTTTTGTAGCTTCCTTTTCTCAGAGTGAGAACCCTGCATCCAAATATCATCAATATATTTATTTGTTGTTTCACAGTAAATACTAAATAGTTTTGGGAATTCATACGTCAGTTCCACTACTAGTTCCAATAACAAACTCATTAAAGTTCAAATGTTTTGCAATTCTTTTTGTCCTTAGAATACGTTCCAGTGAGTATAGACAGTTAAGATACTCTGTAAACTGGAATTAAAAACTGAGATTACTTTTTATTAATATCATATAAAGTTTATTTCCATTTGTATTCAGTTTTAGGGCTCTCCCCATCTTTATTGATTTAATTTTTGAATGTGAAAAACAGTAACATTTTTTTCCATTTCACAGGAAAATAATTTAGTGCTCATTACAGCTCATGATGTGCTGTTTTATTAAGGTTTGAGTTTATGCTGTTACTATCAATGGGGGTCTTTTGTTTGCTATAGCATTATAATAATCATTATCATTTGAAAATGTTGGCTGGGTGCTGCGGTTCACACCTATAATCCCAGCATTTGGGGAGGCCAAGGTGGGGAGATTGCTTGAGCCCGGGAGTTTTGAGACCAGTCTGGGCAGCATAATGAGACCCTGTCTTAACAAAAAAATTTTTAAAAATTAGTTGGGCATGGTGGCACATGCCCGTAGTCAGTCTTAGCTACTCAGGAGGCTGAAGCAGGAGGATCACCAGAGCCTGGGAAATTGAGGCTGCCGTGAGCTGTGATCGCACCACTGTACAAGGCTGGATGACAAAGCAAGACCCTGTCTCAAAAAAAAAAAAAAAAGAAAGTTGATGTTTCAGTTGTAAATTGACTTTCTGAACAATTCAGTTAAATCCAGGAGTTCTTTAGATTGGATGCTCTGCTGAGTGTTACTATTCATTCACAAACAAAGGGTATTTAGATATGAATGAGGGTGCTACTCTCCTTCACTCTATTCAGGAGAATTAAACAAGAACAAGAACAGAGACAAAGATGATTTAACTGATCAAGAGTACAAAGTTCGAGGCTGGGCACTGGTCGTTCATGCTTGTAATCCCAGCACTTAAGGAGGCAGAGGTGAGAGAATAGCTTGAGCCCAGGAGTTCAAGACCAGGCTGGGCAACATAGCAAGACAAAAAGGAAAAAAAAAAGGAGGGCAAAGTTTGAAAGTATAGGTCAGATTGGCTTTGTTGCTCTCCTTCTAATGAAAGCTTTCAGCCCTAGAACATGTCAGATAGCTTTTTGGGAATTGTCTTTTGTAGTGTTTTTTGTTGTCTTTCTGGTTTCTAAAAATGAGAATGGTTTTTCTGATATCAGAGTAACCCATAAAGGTGTGAATAAAGTGAAGATCATTCATATACTTACCAGTCAGTAATAACCACTGGGAAAATTTTCGTGGTAAACAAACCTGCTATCCAGAAGGTTCTGTAACTTGCCTTTTTGTTTTCATATAACAGGGTATCTTGGACATTTTTTCATGTCAGTAAATATAGATATATCTCATTACTTTTAATGGTTATATATTGTACTGTTATATTAATATGCTATAATTATATTGATGAATTGTTGGTTCTAATTTTTGAATATTATAAATATGCTGCTATTGATACAGACAGATTCACAAAGATACATTTATAATATAATTTCTTTTCTTTTCTTTTTTTTTTTTTTTTTGAGACAGAGTCTCACTGTCGCCCAGGCTGGAGTGCAGTGGCGGCGGATCTCAGCTCACTGCAGCCGCCGCCTCCTGAGTTCAAGCGATTCTTCTCCCTCAGGCTTCCGAGTAGCTGGGACTACAGGCGTGTGCCACCACGCCCAGCTAATTTTGTTGTTGTTGTTGTTGTTGTTGTTGTTGTTTTTGAGACGGAGTCTCGCTCTGTTACCCAGGCTGGAGTCCAGTGGCGCGGTCTCGGCTCACTGCAACTTACGCCTCCCAGGTTCAAACAATTCTCCTGCCTCAGCCTCCGGAGTAGCTGGGATTACAGGCGCCTGCCACCATGCACGGCTAATTTTTGTATTTTTAGTAGAGATGGGATTTCACCATGTTGGCCAGGCTGGTCTTGAACTCCTGACCTCAAGTGATCCGCCTGCCTCAGCCTCCCAAAGTGCTGGGATTACAGGCGTGAGCCACTGCGCCTGGCCATATTTTTAGTAGAGATGGGGTTTTACCATGTTGGCCAGTCTGGTCTTGAACTCCTGACCTCAAGTGATCCACCCGCCTCAGCCTCCCAAAGTGCTGGCATTACAGGCATGAGCCACCACACCTGGCCTATAATATAGTTTCTTTAGGATAGCTCTTAGATCTGAAATTAACTGTATATATACATTTATACAGTTAATAAATGTATATGCATATATACATTTGTACTCATCCCCAACAGTGTTGAGTATGTATCTTTAACCATCTGGTAGGTGAATATTGGTATCTCCTTTTTCTAATACTGATTTTTAAAATTTTATTGATATTGAACTGTCCAAGAATACTTCTTGAGTGAAAAGCTAGCTTTATTAATTGATTGGCTAGGTTTTTTAGTTGTATCACATGTTTCTTGGATTTCTTTGATATGTCTTCTATTCTTTGTCCAAGTTTCTTATTGTGGTAGTAATATTTTTCCTATTTATATGTGTTGAGCTACTGGGTTCTTAACATAATAATGTTACTAATCCCCTGTCATAGGTGATGCAGTTTTTTTTTCAGTTTGTTATTTGTCTTTTAACTTGAGTGATTTTTTTTTTGTCAATGTAGTAATATTTTTAAAAACAAGGATAATCTTTTTAATGGTTTTTAGCTTTGTGTGATGTTTAGAAAGGGTTTTTCAGCTGTCAGTGTCATGATTGCAGAAGTTGTTACCTAATTTTCTTCCAGTGCTTTGATGGATTTTTTTTTATTTAAGTATTTAATCTATCGGAAATTTATTTTAATATTACTGTGTTATTTTGTATCTCCAAATGTCTAGCTGGTTATTTTAGTACCATTCATTCACTTGAAACCACTGGTTTGAAATGCCACTATTTAAATTCCCTCACATCTTTCAGTAGCTTTTGTGATGTAGATATGGGTAATATGTTTGATAATGTTTCAACTCTTTTTTAATCTTTTTCCCAGCCACCTGTCTTTACCAGTTTCCAAGACTATGTTACTGGGCTTCAGACTTTAATTTCCAATGTTGTGGATCATATTAAAGGGCTTGAAACACATCTAATTGCACTTAAACTTGAAGAACTTATTTTAGAAGACACTTCTCTCTCACCGGTAAGAGATTGTAGGCAATCGGCAATGTTTTCTACACACACACAAACACTCTGTCTCTCTCTCTCATCTTTATCACAAGGACAAGTTAAAGTTCAATTTATCATTTCCTCTTTATAAGACTTGTGACTAGAAGGTGCTTGGCAGTAGTTTCTTGTTGTGTTGTTGGTGGTAGGTTTTTTCCCCTCTTCATTTCTCCCCATACGTCCTCCTTTCTATGCATTTTTGGGGTTGTTCTTTTACTATGAAAACTAATGCCAGCATTTTGAGCAACATGGAACCAGCCATATTTTGAAATCCAGGGACAATCTTCTTGAATAGAATTTACCTGCTGCTGAGTTAGCTGTCTTCCTTGCCACCCAGTTATCACCTGAGAAAGGAGAAATGCTGGACATGAGAAGTAATTATGTCAGTAATAATTAGGCTAGAGCAAGCCAACCAAAAAGGGAATGAAACCAAGTATGGAATCAAAGGTACCACCATCAAATGTCTTCTGATATTATTTTAGGTCTTTTCAAATTCTATTAGTTAGCAAAATCCTTATAAAGCCTTTGCCCTTAAAATGACGATTCTTTTTTGTAAATGTTAATTCACCGGCCTGGAGTAGGTTTAGGATTTTGGTAGGGGCAAGAAGGACAGTGGTGGAGTCGTCTGTTTCTAGCCTGTTGGTCCAGTGATGAAACTGATCTTAAGAAAATGCTTCCCTCCGGGAGTTTGTCTGAGCTAAACTGCTGAGCTAAACTGCTGATGAGGGAATTTATCCAGTAACCTGAGGGCAGCCATCATCATAGCCCCAGACCTTCATAGGGAAGGGAATGAATAGAATTTTCCTTAGCACACCAGCCTTAAGAGATTGTAAGCCCCTCTTTTGTAAAGCTTAAAAACGTTAGACTTTGAACAGAGTGCTTACTGTGGGAAAGGGCTCAGAGCAGTTCACATTACCAAAGATTGATTAAAAAAAGCAGACATGGGCTGGGCACAGTGGCTCACGCCTGTAATCCCAGCACTTTGGGAGGCGGAGGGAGGCAGATCACGAAGTCAGGAGATGGAGACCATCCTGGCTAACACGGTGAAACGCTGTCTCTACTAAAAAAATACAAAAAAATTAGCCGGGCGTGGTGGTGGGCGCCTCTAGTCCCAGCTACTCGGGAGGCTGAGGCAGGGGAATGTTGTGAACCCCAGAGGCAGAGCTTGCAGTGAGCCGAGATTGCGCCACTGCACTCCAGCCTGGGTGACAGAATGAGACTCCGTCTCAAAAAAAAGAAAAAAAAAAGCAGACATGTTCATATTGAACCTAGTGAGTGAAAAAGTACCTCCTTTCAAAATGAACATGTCTGCTTTCTTTAATGAAGAGTGGGGACATTTGAGGAAGATTAATTGGTTTTCACCAGGTAGAAAGAAATGTAGGAAAAGGATCCCAAGCAGAAGGAGGCACAGATAAAAGCACAGGGGCAGGAAAGTGAATTCTGTGGCGCAGTGTGACACAGTTGGCAGGGCCAGAGCTTATGGTATACGGGAAGTACTGTTAGATATGAAGGTGATAGGCACAATAGCCCTGTTGTGACTATCAAGTGGTTGTTTATGTTAAAAGATCTGTCTGCATCCTGGAATGATGAGCAAGAGTTCTTGTTTTCAGAGTTCTAGAGGTTATCCTTAACTTGGCCATACTCTCTGGATTTTTCAAGCCCTAGCTTCTGTTCTTGTCTTTTGACCTTGGGAAAGTTACCTAACCTCTCTAGGCTTCAATCTCTTTATCTGTAAATGGAAATGATAATAATGCCTACTTCATAGGATTATGGCAAGGATTAAACAAAGCAATAATCGGCCTTATGTTGTTAAAGTCATGTTTCATATAGTTACTGAGCACTACCAAATACCTGATGCATATAGTTTTGGCTAATTGTCTTTTAAAGGTAAAAATCTCTTCAATTCAGTTTCCATTAGGCTCCTCTGCTTTCTTTCCTCCCTTTCTAAATTTGAAACACTGTGAATAAGGCCTCTGGACTGTGACCTCTAGTCCTGATTCCCTTTCTTCCTTCCTATGGGGTATCCCAGTGAAACTGGCTGTGTGTTAGGACCTTTTTGTGTGTATTTATATTCATAGAGAAAATATACAGTATTATTGTATTATTTTGTACTTTAAAAAATGTAAACTCGGCCAGGTGTAGTGGCTCATGGCTGTAATCTCAGCACTTTGGGAGGCCCAAGGCTGGAGGATTATTTGAGCTCAGGAGTTCAAGACCAGCCTGGGTCACTTAGTGAGTCCTGCCTCTTTTAAAAAAAAAAAAAAATTTTAAATTCAGTTTTATATTCAAGAGATCTGTTCAAGCTAATGCCTGTGGATCAATCTTGTTCATTAAACAGCTGCAGAATATAAATGCACCACTGCTGTTGGACATTTTAGGTTGTTTCTTTATATTTGCTTTTACATATGTTACCGAGTGAAATGTATTTGTGCACACCTTTCTATGCACATTTGTATTTCTAAGGAAAATTAGGTCTGAAGTACTAGTATTGTTGGGTCAGAAAGTATGTTCCCGGTTTCTTCTACAGTTCTAGGCTCTGCAGCACTCAACTTCATGTAAACCTAATCAGTCTTCAGCCAACCTCCTTTCTCTGTGAGAACTCACCCCTTCCCTTTTGTTTTTTGTGATCTCTACTACAGCAAACATTTGCCAGCAAATAATAACTCATATTGAAGAATATATAGTTGGTCTCTTGAACTCAGGGGCTTTGTCAATATGGAGGAGACTTGTTAATATTGTAACTGGAAATGATGGAGTTGGTAAAGTTGAGGCCATTATTAAAAGTGGCTATGATGATGTACAAATTAGTAATAAATTTCTACTTTTTTCTGATGAAAACAATCAGAAATCTCAAAATTTCCACTTTGCACAGGTTATAACAAAATAGTAGGGATTTTATGTCCAAACTAGTCATAATTTTCTGTTTTTATTGATTAAAAAGTAGTGATCAGAAATCTCAGTTTTTCTTCTAATTTTTTTTTTTTTTTTTTTTTTTTTTTGAGACAGCTTTACTCTGTCGCCCAGGCTGGTGTGTAGTGGCACGATCTCAGCTCACTACTACCTCTACCTCTAGAGTTCAAGCAATTCTCGTGCCTCAGCTTCCCAAGTAGCTGGGATTACAGGTGTGTGACACCATGCCTGGCTAAGTTTTGTATTTTTAGTAGAGATGGGGTTTCACCATGTTGACCAGGCTGGTTTCAAACTCCTGGGCTCAAGTGATCCACCTGCCTGGGCATCCCAAAGTGTTGGAATTACAGGCGTGAGCCACCGTGCCTGGCCCAGTTTTTCTACCTTATATAACTTACAACAAAGGGTACTTGAAAGAGTAATGATGCTAAAGCAATAGGGTTTCCATGAAGAATCACATCGAAAAATACCCATTCGTGATGACCTTTTGCCTTCTTTGCATTTTATGCAATTGAAAATGACCCACTGTGTTCTGATGGAGCTTGCAATGAGACCAAAGGTAATGGCAGCTTTAACTTTTATCTGAGAACTAGAATCTGGGGGGATGGTTTTTAAACAAGACTAATTATTCTTGTCTCCTCCTTTATAGGAAGAGAGAAAATTTTCAAAGACTGTGCAAGGGAAGGTGCAGAGCAGTTATCTGCACTCACTTCTGGAAATGGGGGAGCTGCTGAAAAAAAGACTTGAGACCACAAAGAAACTAAAAATTTAAGGAAGTATCTATCATGGGCACTGATGACTCTGCAACAGAATATGACACCATCTTCCCAGGCAAAAGCAACATCTGGTTGACCATGATTTTAATCCAGAACTTCCTCATAAAATGCATGAAGGACTTTGATCGTGAATTTTTTTAGGTGTTAAATATATACAACTGATTAAATTATTGTATATAAACCAGAAGCGGGACCCTCATCTGGGTTTGACCACTTTTTATACATGTTCATATGCATATGGCAGCAACAAGAGAACCCTACTTTTCTTCTTCCCATCACCAGAAACATCTTTTCAGGGGAGCGGGGGGTCTATAAAAACAGCAATAGAAATTAAGCATAAAGCATCAACCTCATAGCAACTGAATAGCCCTTCCATTATAAATAACATTGAGAGTTTTTGGTCTGGTCCTTGAGCCACAAGAAGTGGAGGGGAGACCATGCCTGGGAACAGACCCCCTTTTCACAGCAGTAAGTTTGTTTTGAGGCTTTCTCAGCTACTTGGCTCCCACAGAACCCAAGGCAGGTACACAAAGGACCTTAGATGAGATCTGGCATATGCACCCGCAATAGAAGGGCACCACTTGGATGACCACAGGCACTTAGTTTTTGGCTAGTTTTTGTCTGATAGTTAAGACATCCCCATCCTAGCTTCTGTGAGAGTTAAAAATCTCAGGTAAGAAGGCAAGGAAGGCTCTGTTAATTTATAGCTGTTTAGAGGGGAAAGCAGTGCAGACCACTTATTAAGCCCGCTGAGGACTAGCTTTCTGTCTTTCATACATTTGGGAAAGATAGGAATGACTGTTTCAAAGAAGAGAGGTGCACATAATTTATGCAGGCAAGTATGATACTTATTTCATTGGTTTTGTGAGTCATATATATACATATATATATATACACATATATATATGACTTGAAAATTAAGATTTAATACTTTAATGTTTTAAGTGTGGGGGGTTTGGGAAGGAAGGAATGTAATATTATGGATTTAGCCTTAGGCTTTAAGTTTTAGGCTGGCAAAAGAAATGTTATTCAGTGGGTTTGAGGTTTGGACTACTTTCTTCAAACTTAGAGAATTATAACAGGATGGTGTTTACTTTGTTCACCTGGATGTCCCCAAGACTCTAGCTTCTTCTATCAGTGGTTGGTCTGATAGAAGAGGTAAAAATTGCTCTTGAAAATGTCCTACAATTTATGCAGTTTCTTTGATAATATTTTTCTGTTTAAATCCCTGCTTCTGTTTTTGGTCTGTTACCTAAATATAGTTCAAGTTTAATTCTGTAAGAGCAAAGAAATGAATTTGATGAGGAAATTAAGCATCCAATGGAGGATTGGTCTTGAAGACCTTAAAGGTGCTTTCCAACCTGCACTGCTCCAGTGAAATGTGGTACTTTTTTCTTTTAAAAGCAACCAAGAGAGCTGGGAATATCTGTGTACGCAAAGTAATTGCATTTTGTCCCTTCATTTTGACTTTCTTAGATTCATAATTTGATACAGTGCTTAAACTTCCAAGGAAATTTTAAACAATTACTACATTACCTGTTCAAAATAAGGCTTGTTGGAAATCCTAGTCCATCAACTAATTTCAAAAATTTATTTTTGATATGAGTAGCAACAGCTGGTCATATACCCTATCCCAAAAGGAAGAACTGTCTTGAACAAGATGAATGGAAAATTGTGGTTAATTCTGAATTTCATGTAATGACAACATATTCTTTCATAAAACTATGGCCTGTTTAAGATGGAACTTTGTGTGTGTCTGCTGGGGAGGGTGGGGTACATGTGTATGGCGTGTGTTCTTGAAATGATGTCTCTCTGAATATCCAAAAAAGTACTGTACTGTAGAAATGCTCTTTGAAAAAGTCTATCGACTGACCATGATCAATCTAGCATATGTATGTTCAGTGGGCTAGCCTTGGTCCTCAGGGACAGTGTGTGACTCTAGTGGTCTTCCTAACCAGTCTCTTGCCTAAAGATATCTGGGACCTCTACTGGCTTTAATGACAAATAATGTTATGTTGAGGTTATGCTTCCTTTGTTATTTGCTGATTTTCCTACTAAATGTAGCATTTCAATTAGATCCAGCTTTCACATTTTGAGATAATTGTAAAAAGAATGAAATTATGCAGAAATGGCCAATATCTCTTATCAATCTGTTCTTTTGGAAACCCTCATGTACTATAAATTGTGTACAGTTAAAAAAATATATATATATATATATTCTTACATGAGTAAAAAGCACCCTCTCCCAGCAATCGTATGCCATTGGTATTTGAAGAGAATTCCCAAATAACCCATTGCTGCTGCTGCTGTTTTTGATTTGTATGGGTTTTTTTGTTTTGTTTGTTTTTGTGTGGTAAACTGATATTTAAAAAAGGAAAGGAGAAAAATCACGACTACTGTTTACAGACTGAAAAATTATTGCTTTTTATACTACTGAGATCCTAAGTTAAGACTCTCCAAAGCAAACATTTGGTTTAAATCATTTATCTGATGTAGATAAAAGGTAGAGAAACTTGTAGTGTTCTCCACATAATGGAAAATGTACAAATGCCTAGTTGTGTTGCCCATCAATTTTGTATATTTTCATAATTTTAATTGTTGAAAATTGCATTATATTTTGCAATCACTATGTTCAATCTGGATTTGTCTTTCATTTTAACTTTTAATATAAAAAGGGGTTTCAATGTATCTACAGGCTTGTTATTGAAACTTCCTACTTATTTGATGTGATTTATTAATATAGGAAGTATATATTCTTCCTTAAGTAAGTGAAGCATAGCAAATCTACTTTAAACTGGATGGGTTAATTTATATAAACATTTTCATTTTAAGTTGGCATTTCTGCCTGGTTCCTTTTTGTTCAGATTCTTAGAAGCCACAACCTTCTGAATGGTGTAATTCATCTCAGTTGTGAATTTAGGGCTATATCCCAACATATTTTTAATATTTGAGAATTTAGAATTTTTATTTGAAGTCAGCTAGTCCTTTTGACTCAAAAGTTAGTACCTTCTGTACTTGCAGTTATTAATTCAACATATATGTATTGAACACTTAAATTAGCATATAGCAGATTCCACTTTAGGCTCTGGTGAGACCCTGTGTCCTAGTTAGTAAGTGAGTAACATATATCCTAGTTAGTGGCTGTGAGGTGGGGAAGAGGCAATAAAAATATTAGTTTGTAATTACATCCTGCTTAATAATGTAAATCACAGTATGTGAATTGAGTGTGTCTAGAGGGTCACTTCAGAATGGGTCACAGGAGGACCTCCTAAGTGGTGACCTCTGATCTGAATGATGAACTGTCAGGAAAAAAGTAACACACATGCAAATGCCCCAAGGCAGGAAACTGCTGAGCCGGTTCCAGGAAGTGAAAAAATGTTCAAGTGGCTGGGACTTAATGAAAGGGGTAGGATTGAGATAGAAAGTTGAGTAGGGATGAGAGCCATCAGGACTTAGTAGTCCGGGGAAGGAATGAGATTTTATTCTAAATTTAGTGGGAAGTTACCAGAGGATTTCAGGCAGGCTGATGACATGATTTATCCAAGGGTACTCGAACCCACAAGCTGGGATTCGGAACTTATTCAGGTACATTGACAACACAGTGAAAGTAGGAACTTAGCTCTTTTTTACTTTCTGTCCTGTGATATTGTCTTGTATGAGCCCCAAAGAGTCAGTTTTTGCCTGTTTCTTCAGTTATGAATTAACTCCATCCCAAGGTTTTTCTTTTATTTTTTTGAGACGGAGTCTCGCTCTGTCGCCAGGCTGGAGTGCAGTGGCACGATCTTGGTTCACCAGTCTCGGCCTCCTGGGTTCAAGTGATTCTCCTGCCTCAGCCTCCCGAGTAGCTGGGATTACAGGCGTGTGGCACCACACCCAGCTAATTTTTGTATTTTTAGTAGAGACGGGGTTTCACCATGTTGGCCAGGATGGTCTCGAACTCCTGACCTCGTGATCTGCCCACCTCAGCCTCCCAAGGTTTTTCTTTAGCAAAAGATAGGTACTTGGGTATACCTCACTGCCATTCTTAATTTTCTTGAGAGATGGGCTCAGGTTTATGCTTTTTTATGTGCCCTGTTTTTTTAGATGCTGTTCCTGTCTTGGTGCAGACATGTATTTTACAGTATGACTGGAGGGTAAGCTACCATGAACCAAATGCTTATACAAATTATTTGTGGGGTTCCTATGGCAGTTTATGCTTCAGGAGTGCAGAGCTTTTCTGCAACCTCCAGCTTCCATATAGCCCAGTTAATTTAGGCCTCAGATACTATTTTTTTTTTTTTTTTTTTTTTTTTGAGACAGTTTCTCTCTTGTCCCCCAGGCTGGAGTGCAATGGCGCGATCCTGGCTCACTGCAACCTCCGCCTCCCGAGTTCCAGCGATTCTCCTGCCTCAGCCTCCTGAGTAGCTGGGATTACAGGCATCTGCCACCACGGCCGGCTAATTTTTGTATTTTTAGTAGAGACGGGGTTTCACCATGTTGGCCAGGCTGGTCTCAAACTCCTGACCTCAAGTGATCTGCCCGCCTCGGCCTCCCAAAGTGTGGGATCACAGGCATGAGCCACCGCACCGGCCCAGATACTGGACTATTTTACAAATGAGAAAAGTAGTTGTTGCAGGTAAGACTACTGTTTAATATTGAAATTATCGAACTCTCCTGCAAACGATTCAAACTCCCTTAAGCATTGAGGAAATGAGCTAAAATCCAGATCCCCCTCACCATCTCCCTCACCTTCTTAAGTCTTGTTGGCCGTGTTCATATTCCCAGATTAGTTCCCTATGTATAATCTCTGCTAATATATTCCAACTCCAACATTTTTTGTGGTGCCAATTACCAAGAACTATTTGTAAATTACCCTTCGCACCATTTGAGATAACTTGCAAGTTCCTTAAACACAATTCATGTTGGATCCAGTGTCTGCTTTGCTTCAGGTTATCAGGAAATTCCCTTAAAATTGAAATACTTAACAAGGTGCAGCGGCATGCACCTGTACTCCCCAGCTACTCAGGAGGCTGAGGCGGGAGGATCGCTTTAGCCCAGGAATTCAAGTCTAGCCTGCGCAACAAAGCAAGATGCCCATCTCTTAAAAAAATAACTATAAGTATTTGATTGATTCTGGGAATCCAGTCCATAGTCTTCATTAGAATCTGAATAGCAGCACTTGAGCCACAATATTAGTAAATTCTAAGAGGTAAAGGAATCCATTTGACTTGGGTCAGGGAAGACTGTATTTTATGTGACATATGCAAATCACTTAAGACTCTAGAAAGAGGGCTCACCTTTAATGAAAACAACTATTGGGTAACAAAGGGCCTCTGACATATGATAATGTAGTTCCGCCCAATAGCTCAGGTTTCTTCAACTCAAGGCCCTGGGGTTGTAAATAACCATATCCAGCCAGAACCCATCCAGTGCCGTGCCCATGGAGGTACTGTCACCTTCCTGCTTCTTACAATTGAAAATCAAGATTAGTCTTCATTCAGGGACTCTGGATGCATTTAATATTAGAGTCCTTTCCCTACCTGCCATTTGTTGTCTCATTCTAATTTCCATAAAACAGTGAATACTTTGCTCTTTGGAAGTGATCCCGTTTACACGGAGCACACTAGAACAGCCAAAGCAAATTTACCAGTTAGAAGTATCCAAAAAGATCTTCCAGAAGTTTCAGTGAGAACTGAAGTAAAAATGTAGAAATTATTATAGTAAATATTATTATATTCTTTCATTATATGTAGAGTACATAAGCTGTCAGCAGGTGGGTGTTTAGGTTTAAACACTTTTTACCTCCTTGGTTTGAACTGTTAGCCTAAGCTACCACAATTTTTTGTCCCATCCAATTCAACATATGGAATTTCCTCTATTTTTTGTTTCCAGGAACTAAATATATACCAACCTGGATAAAATGGAGGAAAATAATTCAAGGTCTTATTTGCCAACTCCATTCTTTGTGTGGGTGCAATTAGATATATTTCAGGAGCTGTGGTCTCATGACATTTTCAAATGGTTAAATATGAAAGTAGAGCTGTCGTGAAGCTCACTTTTGCAGATAACTGCTTCTGAGTCTGAAGAAAAGATGTGAATGTTGGCACAAGTGCTCTTTATTCTGCTTTCTAGAAGTTAGTATTTATTTAGTGATAGTGATTTAGATGGAAAATATTTTTTAATTTTGAAATCGGACTATATCATTTAGCTGTGTAAATCCAAGTCACAGAATATATCAGTAAAACTAAGAATTTGCTATGTGTACCTCACAAAGCATGGAAAATAATTACACCATGGTCCATCAATGTTGGTTCAATATATTCATCAATACTGCTATTGAGTTTTAAGGACTGGAAAATAGACAAACTTTACCATTGACAGTCAATCCATGTCAGTCTGAATATCACTGGAAAATAACAAAGGTATGCCAGTTTCCACAGTGTTATGAGGATAGTTTGTTACCCTGGGAAAGTGGAGTCTATACCAGCTTAGATTCAAAGAGGAAAGCAGGTCATAGACGAAAGTATAATTTGAAAAGAAAAAAGAATGGCTTCAGGTCCACTTAACCAAAACACTGAAACTTTAATTGAATGAGAATTACATCTGTCAAAGACCTGGGCAGTACACTCCTCTCTCCTCTCTATAGCACTCATTCCTTCTGAGGTGTCATTTCACCAGCCACCTGAGTAAGTGCTCCAGCTATCCCCAGACCAGCTAGAGACATCCCAAGCATGGTCATGTTAGCATCAATGTCCAGGCATACTCAGGGCTCAGAATCGTGGGTTAGTACCACTTTTCCCACTACCCCCTTATATTCCACAAGGGACTCACAGCCAGCAGGTTAACTCTCCCCTCCCTACCCCCACCAAACCCTGGAAAATCACAGACAGCCTTTTTACAGCTCCTCTTTCTCGGCCCCCTTCTTCTGGAAGGCAGTCAGGATGTTTAAGCTCTTCTGGAGCTCCTCCTTCTTCCCGTCACTCATCTTGTTCTTCTCAATCAGCCTGGCGATCCGTGTCATCTCTGATGCTGGGAAGTCCTCCCCTTGGTCTAAGATCTTCCCCATGATCTTCAGGTATTGCTCGGCCCACTTCTTCTGAGTCTCCTTCACACTTGAGAGGTTATCTTGCCCCTGCTTCAAGAGGGCCTGGCGGGCCTCCACACCAGAGGCCCTGATGAACTCCCCGGCCAGGGCGTCGTATACAGGCAGGCAACCAGGCATACCTAGGTAGACCCCTTGCCCCTTCAGCCAGCGCTGGATGGCTCCAACCTTAACTGCCCCAGTGTATGGGACTGGGTTCTCAAAGTCCCCATCCCGGAAGAGGTAGAAGACTGGGTAGCTCTCTTTGTCCAGCTTGTATTTCTCACTCAGCTCCATGTTCAGCTTGTCACCATAATCTGTGAGCAGAAACCAGACACAAAAAGCAAGACCATAAGGAACTCAGGGCAGAAAATTGCTATGGGACCTAGCTGAACTGAGGGAAAGAAGAATTTTCTTGGCCGTGTAATGGTTCAAAGTGAGGAGCAACCATACAGACCTGTGTTTGAATTCCTCCTCTGCCACTTCCTAGCCATGCAGCACTAGGCAAATCATTTAAACTCTCTGAACTGTTCTTCATCTGAAAAAATGGAGATTCTTCTGAATATTTATTATATGCCCACTATGTGTCAGATGCTGTTCTAGGTGCTGGGGGTCTACTTGTGATTAAGAGTATTAAGCTCGGACGGGTGCGGTGGCTCATGCCTGTAATCCCAGCACTTTGGGAGGCCGAGGCGGACAGATCACGAGGTCAGGAGTTCAAGACCAGCCTGGCCAACATAGTGAAACCGCTGTCTCTGCTAAAAATAACAAAAAAATTAGCAGGGCATGGTGGCGCGTGCCTGTAGTCCCAGCTACTCAAGAGGCTGAGGCAGAAGAATCGCTTGAACCCAGGAGGTGGAGGTTGCAGTGATCCGAGATCCCACCACCGCACTCCAGCTTGGGCAACAGAGTGAGACTTTGTCTCAAAAAAAAAAAAAAAAAAAAAAAAAAGACTATTAAGCTCATATTCTTCTAAGGGAGAGAAGAGACATAACAAACACATAAACACAGGTGATGAATGCCACAGGGAAAACAAAACAGCGCGATGTGACAAAGTGGGTAAGAAAGCCCACTTCAGGTGGTCAAGGCAGGCCTCCCTGTGAAGGTGACATCAGCTAAAGGACCTGAATGTCCTGGAGCAAGCTACGTGAAGATTTGGGAAGAGTGTCTCAGGCAGAAAGGACTGCAAGTGCAAAAGCTCTGAGGCAGGGCTAAGCTCAGGAAATTTCAGGATTACAAAGACCAGTCTGGCTGGAGCTGGGTGAGAAAGGGGAGCATGTGGTAGGGAAGGAACACAGTCCCTGCCACATGGGGGCTGTTGGGAGGACCGGATGAGGGAATATGTGCGTGATACTTGGCAGGGTTATATGCTTAATATGTGGTAGCTGCTGTTAGTATCTGCAACATCCTTCCTAACGAGCAGTAGCAGCCCCAAGGACTGATGCTGTGACAACTGGTTTCTTACACTTTGCCGAGAAACGGCTAAGACCAACTACTAGTAGTGGTAGTACTGGATGCCTAGGGTTCCAAACCTAGTTCTGCCACTTAACAATTCCACAATCTTGAGCAAGTTACTCTAAGCATCCATTTCTTCATTTGAAAAAATGGAGGTAATAGTACCACATGGGACTTCCTTCACAGAGCTCTTGCAAAGATGAAACACATGTAAAACACTCAGCACAGCGGCCTGGCACGCAGTAAACATCTGATAAATGTTAACTATTATTATTATTCTAATAAAAGCACCAAGGGAGTTACCTGAAGTTGAGTCAAATCTGACTGACTGTCCTGGAGAGGTGTGCCAGCTATCTCTACCCAGGACCAGACGCTCTACTAAGTTCCCAGCTTACTACGGAATGGAGGCATCCAAGCTGGGAGGGAAGTGAAATAAGTAAGCCCCTGCCTGGGACTAAACACTTAGGTGGAGCTCTGGATGAGCCACTCTATCACCCACAGTCCTTTAATCTTTGAGCTTCAGTTTTTTTTTTCCTGAAGTATAACATGGAGATAATACATCTTGCTTCTCAGGCAGAGTTCAAGTGAAGATTTAAAATGCAATGGGGGTGCAGATCTTTACCCTGTCAGCCACTAAATGCTGGTGACTATTAAAGCTGTCGCTGTGGTTGGGAGGTGCCCTTGGATTAGTGGTGGCATCAGTGCATTTGAGCTAACACCAAAACCTAACAGTTTTGGTACATAAACTGAAATGAAGACAGAAGAACTGACTATGCTGTCCCCTAGGGGACATAGCACCCCCTCTGCCCAGTGTTCCCTGCAAGGAGAGCTCAAAGTTCTCACAGTTTAATGTCAGAGAGGGGTGGAATGTGAAGGAAGAGGGGTTCCCTTCCCTTCAGGCACCTGTACAGCTGAGCTTAGATTCCATGGTCCCAAAATCTGCTCAGGTTAAGCCTACTGTGGGCAGCAGATTCCTTTAGAGACCATGAACCTGTTTACTTACACTCCTTGAGAGTGGCTCAGAAGGAAAGATGCTGGGTATTCCTGTTCCAAGTAGGGAAACGATTTCTAGCTTCCTCCCTCTCTGCCCCCCCAGCCGTCCTGGACTTGTCCATACCTGAGATCCCCACCTCTGCCACCAAGAGATCATCGCTGGAAGCCGAGTTTTCAGCAAGACGCTTGAACTCATCCTGCTTCTCACCGTAGGGGTACTGGGTGTCGAACTTCACCAAGACGAACTTGCTTTTGGGAATGACCTGAGGGCGTATAGAGCTGAGCAAGTGGGTGTTCCAGGGACTTTTGGGGCTAATTCCCCTTCCCAAGGGGCCCCTGTTTAAGAAATAGAGTGGAAACAAGCCCACAAGGGAGGCAAGCTCTCACAAACTAATATTTATTCATTCACCCACTGACTCATTTAACAATTTAGTGAGTGCCAGCAACATGCAGGGCACCCCATTAGTACCTGTTCACACTAATCAAAGATATACACAACCCTGTCCAGAATAAACAAGGCTGCAGACATACTAAGGCCTTCTCCTTCAGGGTTCCTTTCAGTTAGGTGAAGGAGACCCTCTGCATACTACATCAGCCCCTGTCATGCTCATCATCCCAGGAGGCCTTTCGCAGTAAACCCTGAACAAGAAATCTGACAAAAATAAACAAACCTACCTACAAAGGAGTTGGCATCATGGAGGACGCTTTGGCTAGATAGGCCAGAGTTTGAACCCAGCAATTTCAGGGCAGATAAGCTAGTGAGAGGCCAGGCTTGGGACAATGTCTTCTCCCTAGACTACACTTCCCTCTGGCTAGATCTCTGGGTTTTAAACTGTCAGGGCCAAGACTTTTAATTGCAGTAAAATTCACATAATATTTGCCATTGTAACCATTTAAAAGTGTACATTCTGCATGATTCAGTGCATTAAGAATGTGCAACCATAGAGGTTACTATCTAGTGCCAGAACATTTTCATCATCCCAAAAGGAAACCCTATACTCATTACGCAGTCACTCCCCAGTCTTCCTCCTCCCAGCCCCAGCAACCACTCATCTATTTTCTGTCTCTATAGATTTGTCTATTCTGATGGAAATGTACAATATGTGCCCTTTTGTGTCTGGCTTTTTTCACTTAGCATGTTTTCAAGGTTTGTCCATGTTGTACCATGTATTGGCACACTGTTACTTTTTATGGCCAAATAAATATTACACTGTACGATAGACCACATTTTTGTTTATTCACTCATCAGCTGAATGTTTGGGTTGTTTCCACCTTTTGGCTACTGTCAATAGTGCTGCTATGAACATTCACATAACACATTTTGTTTGAACACCTGTATTCCACTCTTTTGGGTATATATACAAGTGGAACTGTGGTGGTCATATGCTAAGTCTACATTTAACTTACTGAAGAAGCCAAGGACTTCTTTTGATGGTTTCTCCCAATGCACAAGTTTTATCTAACAAGCCACCTTAGGGTAACACTGCCTTCCTCACTTCCATCAACTTTTTGTTTTCCTAATCCAAGTGATCCCTATCAAGTTTTTTCATCACAGGCAATCACTGTAAATAATCATGTCAAGGCTGAGCATGGTGGCTCACACCTGTAATCTCAACACTTTGCGGGGCTGAAGTGGGAGGATCACGTGAGGCTAGAAGTTCAAGACCAGCCTGGGCAACATAGCTGGCTTAAAAAAAAAAAATTAGCCAGTCATGGTGGCACACACCTGTATTCCCAGCTAAACTACTCAGGAGGCTGAGGTGGAAAATCACTTGTGCCTAGGAGTTAGAGGTTATAGTGAGCTATGATTGCACCACTGCAATCCAACCTGTGTAACAGAGTGAGACCCCATCTCTCTCTCTCTCTCTAAAAAGAAAAAAAAAATTATGTCAAGCTGACATAATTCTGGCTGAAGGCAAAGATACAATGTTCTGGACTGGGCACAGTGGTTCATGCCTGTAATCCCAGCACTCTGGGAGGCTGAGATGGGTGGATCACCTGAGGTCAGGAGTTGAAGACCAGCCTGGCCAACGTGGTGAAACCCTATCTCTACTAAAAATACAAAAATTAGCTGGGCGTTGTGGTGGGCGCCTGTAATCCCATCTACTCGGGAGGCTGAGGCAGGAGAATTGCTTGAACCTGGGAGGCGGAGGTTGCGGTGAGCCGAGATCGCGCCACTGCACTCCAGCCTGGGCGAAAAGAATGAAACTCCACCTCAAAAAAAAAAAAAAAAAAGAAAAAAAAAGATACAATGTTCTTGTTAGTCTTTGTCCTTTACAGTGTACTGATGTCCTCTTGGTTTTTAAAAATATTTAACACTGTTTAGGGACACAAAGGAGGGAGGAGAAGACACCAGAACAAGTCATCTTTAAATGCCAAAAAGCCTGAGCTCTGGGGGCCTAAAAGCAGGAAAGACTTAAAATACAAATAAGATCACATCCCTCTGGCCCAACTGGCCTTATTTCACTTCAGCACATGAAACTTATTCCCACTCAAGAGCTTTTTCATTTGCTCTCTGCTGGCTGGAATGTCCTTTCCCCAGTTCTTTTCATGGTTATCTCTTTATCGTTCAAGGCTCAGTTCAAATGTCCCCTGCTACTGGGGACTCCTCCAATCAGACCATCTAATATGGCTTCATTTTCATCATACCCTGCTATCATTACCCTGCTGTATTTTCTTCAGTGCATTACTCACTCTCTGAAATCCTTATTTGCTTGTTTTCCATCCTTTCCACTAGAATACATTTATGAGAATAAGGACCTTGTCTGACCTGTTTTCTGCTGTATCCCTAGTGCTCAACAGTGCCTGGAATGTGGCAGATGTTCTGAAAATATCTGATGAATGAACAATACTCTGACAGGCTTTGTAGCAGATGCTACATGTTGGGGAAGGGGAGAATGTTTAAAAAGCAAAACACGGGATACCTACTTTCAAGGGCCTGCACTTGTATTATGGAATAATATTAATAATTATACAGTGGTCTAACATTAAAATAGAATTCAGAGATCTCCACCTTCTACTTTCACCATTCTTAGTTTCAAGGGTAAGGCAGAATGGTTTTGAATGGCAAACATTTGCATAAAGAATTTTCTCTTGTTATCTTAGTCTGTTATTTTTTATTTTTTTTTTGAGGCAGGGTCTCGCTCTGTTGCCCGGGCTGGAGTGCAGTGGTGCCATCTCAGCTCTCTGCAGCTCCGCCTCCCGTGTTCACGCCATTCTCCTGCCTCAGCCTCCCAAGTAGCTGGGACTACAGGTGCCCGCCACCACGTCCGGCTAATTTTTTTGTATTTTTAGTAGAGACAGGGTTTCACCGTGTTAGCCAGGATGACCTCGATCTCCTGAACTTGTGATCCACCTGCCTCGGCCTCCCGAAGTGGTCTGTTATCTCTTAATGATAGCTTTAGAAGTCTATTTTCCTCATCTACTTCCTACCAGCCCTTGGTGTCCAATGGGCTAGTGGGAATCAGCTCTACCATTACCTATAATCAGGCAACTCACTTCTTTAAAGTATAGATAAGTTCATTATTCATTCATTCGTTCATTGAGTAAAAAGTTACTAAAGGCCTGCCAGGCACCATACTAAGTGAACACAGCAGGGAACAAAATGGCATCTCTTAGCTCATGAAACTAACATTCTAGTGATGGTGAAGGGAAAGAAACAACAACAAAAAAGATACTGGAAATCACTGAAAGGCAAAGCATGGAACAAGGCTGCCAGACAGAACACTAGTACATTTCCTTTTGGTTCAGTCGTGATGGAAGAGAAGATTTGAAAAGAGACTGGAGAAAACGTTTGTTCATTCACGCAACAAAATAGTTATTGTGCACCTTCTATGAGACAGGTAATCTGTTATGCAGCGCAGACGATCAGGAACAAAATAGACAAGGAGCTTCTTCATGAGCACATAATATTCCAGTGAGAGAGAAAGATGGCAAAATAGATTTTTAAAAAATCAGTGATGAGTGCTGTATGGAGAAATAAAACAGATTAATGTGACTGGCACTTTAGACTGGGGGGAAGATAAATCAAGGAAGAACTCTAAGGAGGAAACACTTAACCTAAGCCCGAATGATGAGAAGTAACTAACTAGCCTTTCAAAGTTTGGGCAGAGAATATTCCAGTCACAAGGAACAACTAGTGCAACATATCCTAAGGCAGTAAAGAGCAAGGAATATTCAAAAGACAGTAGGAGAATGGTTGGGAGATGAGAGGGAAGCCAGGAGTCAGGTCATATAGAACTTAGGCTACTGTGTGGAGACTCAAGAGTGGAAGCAGGGAGACCAGAGAAGAGGCTATTGTAATGTTGACCTAGACTAGGGTGGTAATAGTAGAAAACACTGTTAGCTTTATGGCGCAAAGTTTCCCTTTGGGTCACACTTGTTCTGTGATATTATCTGATTCCCATGGAGCAGGGTGGGGTAGGGGTGTCATTTTGCCAGTAAAGGCCCCCAAAGCATAGGGTGCTGTAGGGTGTGTCTGAGCATGCCTGACAACCAATCAGCCACACCTACACCATTTTTTTTTTTTTTGAGACAGAGTTTTGCTCTTGTTGCCCAGGCTGGAGTGTCATGGCATGATGACGGCTTACTGCAACCTCCACCTCCCAGGTTCAAGCAATTCTCCTGCCTCAGCCTCCCGAGTAGCTGGGATTACAGGCACCCGCCACCACGCCCAGCTAATTTTTGTATTTTTAGTAGAGACAGGGTTTCACCATGTTGGCCAGGCTGGTCTCCAACTCCTGACCTCAGGTGATCTACCTGCCTCAGCCTCCCAAAGTGCCGGGATTACAAGCATGAGCCACCGCACCCAGCCCACACTTTTTTTTTTTTTTTTGAGACGGAGTATTTGCTCTGTCGCCCAGGCTGGAGTGCAGTGGCGTGATCTTGGCTCACCGCAACCTCCGCCTCCTGGGTTCAAGCAATTCTCCTGTCTAAGCCTCCCGAGGAGCTGGGACTACAGGTGTCCACCACCACGCCCAGCTAATTTTTGTATTTTTAGTAGGGACGGGGTTTCACCTTGTTGGTCAGGCTGGTCTCAAACTCCTGACCTCAGGTGATCTACCCGCCTCAGCCTCCCAAAGTGCTGGGATTACAGGCGTGAGCCACTAAGCCCGGCCTACACTTTTAAATTCTTGAAACTTTGCCTTGAATGAGCTGCAAGTGCCAAATCCACGACAGGGAACGCTTGAAAATAGGAGACTTCAACCACTGGAGACAACTACTTCTTGGTTTCACTTCCCCACAATGAGTACAAAACCTGAAAATGAAATGACTGGCTCTCTCGCAACACTAAGCTTGCCCATCTCCTAGAGGAAGTTAAAAGCTGCTCGTGGGTGAAGACAGGTGCAAGAGGAGGGGACTGGGACTGCGGTGTTGCATTCAGCCACCATTTCCAACCGTCCATTTACTCAGGCCAGGATCCCTAATTCTGCAAAAATGGAAGGGGGGAAAGGCGGAGGTAGTGGCAAATTCTTCCATGCCTTGACCCAATTTTACTGATTTTGTTGCCAACCCCAAGATGTTTCCTACAACAGCTATCCCCAACCTTTTTGGCACCAAGAACTGGTTTCATGGAAGACAACTTTTCCACGGGGTTGGGTGGTTTCGACATGAACCTGTTTCGCCTCAGATCATCAGGCATTAGATTCTGATAAGAAGCACACAACCTGGATCCCTCACATGCGTAGTTCACAATAAAGGTCGTGCTCCTATGAGAATGTAATGCCGCAGCTGATGTAACAGGAGGCGGAGCTCAGGCTGTAGTGCTAGCTCGCCTGCCGCTCACCTCCTGCTGTGCGGCCCGGTTTCTAACAGGCCACCGACGGGCCTGGTGGTTGGGGACCCCTGCTTTACAGGGTGGCTGAACTGAAGCTTATTCTTCACGCTTGCACTATTCAAGATGTATGATATCTGATCATTGTTTGCACACTGCAAAGCAGGCTGCAATCCAACCCTGGGAAGAGGGGCGCGGACACGCAGGCTAACGCGCCTGCATTTCCCCCCGCCAACCCCTCCCAGCTTCCACAGCCGGGAGCCCGGTGGCGTCGACCTCGCACCGCCCTCCGGTTCTCCCACTTGGGACTCGAGGGTTGGATCTCGCCAGGCACCGCCCTCTCCCCACAGGTGAAGGGAAGGGGCACCCAGTTCCCTCGGCTGCATCTTTGCAAGGGTGGATGCAAGTATAAATGCTGCAAAAGCAAGGGTGCGCCGGGGCCCTGAAGCGTGCATGCCCGGTGGTCATAACATTCTCCGCTCAGAGTCCACTAGGCCTGTAGGACGCCGGGAAGCTCTGGGACCGTTGCTACAGACCACCTCCCGTCAGCTCCCGGAATCCAGCGTCTCCCCACGGGCGCGCGCTCTTCCGGGCGCCCCGGCGGCACCTGCGCGCGACGTCCCCCGCCCCGGTTACCTTGTAGAAAGTGACCGTATCCAGGGGAAGGGCGCCCTTGGTGTGCAGGCCGCTGCCGCCATGCGGAGCGGAGAGGAGCAGGAAGCCCAGGAGAAGGGGAAGCAGCGGGGAGAGAAATGCGGCGCGGGGCACAGCGGCAGCCATATCGCCGGGTTCCTGCAGAGGGAGGTAGGTAAGCGATAGTGGAGAACGCCCCGAGTCAGCGGTCACGTGACTGGGGGGGCGGACTCACGCGCGCTCACGTGGACACCCCAGGAGGCTCCCATCTGTCTAGGGTGAGAGGGTGGGGCCACGTGAGGGGCGGGGCGAGGGAGGGGAAGCTGCTGCGCACGCGTACTCGGCGAAGCTCGCGTAGGGCCTGGGTAAAAGGGCGGGGCCACGTTGCGGGCGGGAAAATGGGCTCCTGCGCGCGCGCACTCGCCGAGTCTTCCGGCGGGTCCGCCCAGTTCCGTTCCTGCTCCGCTTGAGGAGAAGCGCCAAGTGCGCATGGGGACGCTATAGCAATTCGTTTGCTGTCCTTCCTCTCCTTCGAAGATGACAAGGCCTACCATCGTTTCTTCCTGCCTTTGGGCCGTCAGGCAGTTGGTTGGGACCCGCTCCAACCCTCGGTCAGTCTATTAGTCAAGTTCAGCCGTTATTCTCAGTCAGGCTCCGTCACCACCCTGACCCAGGCGGGCAGTGGCTCCGCGGCTTCCCTGAGCTTTTTGGCCAGGCTTGGCGGTCAGTGTGGCAAGCAGGGCCCTCTTAGGCCCGATCTGAGGTGAGCGCCTCCCCTGGGAGACGCCAGGCTCCTGGGATCCGCCCAGCCAAGGCCCACCCTCCAGGAACCCCAGACGCAATTCTAATCATTCTGTTCCGCAGGTAGTCACTCGGTCCCTGGCTTGTGCCAGACTCTGGCTTTGCCTGCGGGGCTACGGAATAAGCAGAAACAAGACCGTTGTGTGCTGAAGGCACGCACTTTGTTGGGGGAGGAGGCGGCATAGGAATAATGATCTAAACAGTGCAGTGTAATTGCTGTAAAATATTATTCCGGCTGGGCGCGTTGACTCACGTCTGTAATCCCAGCACTTTGGGAGGCCGAGGCAGGTGGATTACCTGAGGTCAGGAGTTCGAGACCAGCCTGGCCAACATGGTGAAACCCCGTTTCTACTAAAAATCAGGCGAGTGTGGTGGTGCGTGCCTGTAATCCCAGCTACTCAAGAGGCTGAGGCAGGAGAATTGCATGAACCCAGGAGGCGGAAGTTGGGGTGAGCCGAGATTTCGCCATTGCACTTCAGCCTAGGTGACAGAGCGAGACTCAGTCTCAAAAAGAAAAAAAAAGACCGTATTTTCTTATTGTAAAGAGACAGAGATTCAGCCATCCCTGCTCAGGAGCATCAGAGGAAGTTGTAGACAGGAGGTGACTTTTGAGCTGGACCTTGAAATAAGAGGGGGCGTGCATGAGGCAAAGAGAAACAGGGCATTTCTAACAATGGGAAAATTATGCACAGGCATGTTGGGGAACTGGTTGAGATGAATCTATGTAAAGGCGAACTGGCGCAACAGCTGCTGCCGCTCTTTTTTATTTTGATTGATTATTACTGAGCTTCCATGGGGCGGATTCGAAAGGGTCTCACCAAGCTAAAGGGTTTGGAGTCACCAGAAGTTTTAACTAGGAGAGTGAGGTTAGATTTGTGTGTAGAAACAGCACCCAGGTCAGCCTGGGCAACGTAATGAAACCTCGTCTCTACAATAAGTAGAAAAATTAGCCATGTGTGGTAGTGCATGCCTGTGGTCCCAGGTACTTGGGAGGCTGAGGCAGCAGGATCACTTGGACCTGAGGGGTCGAGGCTGCAGTCAGCCCTGATTGCTGCCACTGCACTCCAGTCTGGGCAACAGAGAAGACTGTCTCAAAACAAAAACAACATTACTCAGGAATGAAGGAAATGGATTGGAATTGAGAAGACGGGACTAAAGCCAATTAATGGGGTATGGCAATAGTCTAGTTGGAAGAGGTTAAGGTCATGCAGTAGGACATAATAGGGCTGAAGAAGTATGGATGGAATTGACAAACTTTTAAAGGGTAGAATTCACAAGATTTGATGAACAAATGCATGTAAGAGAACATATACAATGCATTGTAAGGGACTTACTGCTATAATTAACCATTGTATGTTTCCAAAATGTATGTGTATAAATAGTCAACAGTGATAACAGGATCCAATCATGGACAACCAGTTTGATTGGATATAAATTTTGAAAGAAAGTGTGTGTGTGTTTGTGTGTGTGTATGTGTGAATGTGTCTGGGGAAGTTAAGAAAAATTTTGAGTTTGCCCTATTGATGGCAGCCAGCTGCAGCAGGGAGGTGTGACTGGGGCTGCACACTCCATGGAGCCTGTGGGAGCCCCGCCCCTTCTGAGTTGAGGCAGGAGCCCCTGGTGCCATTGTGGCTGCCCTCCCAGGTGCAGGACCTGGGCATCTCTGCAGCCTGCACCCTTGGGGGACCAGCAAGACACCCTACTGCAATCCCTGCAGGCTCAGGAGTGTCTGTTCCCACCGCCTGGACTCTCTCTACTCCCGGGGCCTGCTCCAATCTCAGAGCGGGCTTGGGGCCAAGAATGGCAATGGGAGGCAGATTGATTCCAGGGTAGAAGTGGGTGAGTCCCCAGTAAGACCCCACCTTCAGGTCAGGGAGGGCCTGAAGACAGGGGTCCAGGCTGCCAGTCCTGCAGACTGGAGTAGGGACTCGTGGTGCATCTTCTGGCCTGCCCATGGACCAATCGGCATGTACTTCCTCCCCTCGGAGGTCCATAAAAACCCTGGGTTCAGCCAGAGTAGGGCAGAGGACTGCCAGAGGACCAAGAGGGCAGAGACCTATGGGTCAACAAGCCTAAGAGAGGAGCTACCCTCTCTGCTGATAGTTGGAGATGATGGAACAGCCAGTTGCAAAAAGGACCTACCCTCCCTGCTGACAGCTGCAGAGACAACCTGTGGGCAGAGAAGAGCCACCCTCTCCAGGGCCTCCTCTCTTCTGAGAGCTGCAGACATTAGGACGATCAGTTGCAGAGAGGAGCCATCCTCTCCAGGGCCTCCTCTCTACTGAGAACTGAATACCTGATGGACAACCTGCCTACAGAGAGGAAATACCCACTGGAGGTCTCTGAGCTGTTGTAACACTCAATAAAGTTCATCTTTGTCTTGTTCACCCTTCATTGTCCACGTACCTCATTCTTTTCCTGGATGCAGGACAAGAACTCGGGTAAAGGCACTGTGGCCACAGAGGTTTCTGGCCAGAAAATGGACACCCCAAAGACCCCGTAACACTATGAGCTACAAGACAAGTGATAGAAATTAGAAGAAGGGAAAACTATGAACTGAGGTGGTGAAACAAGGCTTTATGTAACTGGTGGAAATAGAGTTAAGCCTTGGAAGGAGGAACATTTTAGATAGAGAACAAGTGGAAAAGGAGCAGATACGGGAATGAACATGATGCTTTGGGAGAATGACTGGCTTGGTTGAAGGGAGTTCTCCAAACAGGAGATAGTAAAACAGTTTTAAGCTCAGATAGGAGGGAGTCTTGAAGTCAAACTAAGAATTTTCTGTTCTGTAGTCTATATGGAGCTATTAAGAGTTTTAAAATTTCTTTATAAAACATTTAAACTTCTAAAATTATTCACTTCTCAGTATAAATAACTTCGGTTATACCTAGTTAGTAGAATTGATCAGCAGTGACTTTCTAGTCATGGTTAGTTTAGAAGTAGGTTTTGTTTTGTTTTTTTTTTTTTTGAGACAGAGTCACTTGGTCACTCAGGCTGGAGTTCAGAGGCCTGATCTCAGCTCACTGCAACCTCCACCTCCTGCGTTCAAGTGATTTTCCTACCTCAGCCTCCTGAGTAGCTGGGATTACAGACGTCTGCCACCACACCTGGCTAATTTTTTTTTTTTTGTATTTTTAGTAGAGATGGGGTTTCACCATGTTGGCCAGGCTCATCTTGAACTCCTGACCTCAAATGATCCACCTGCCTTGGCCTCCCAAAGTGCTGGGATTACAGGCGTGACCCACTGCACCCAGCATTTTTTTTTTTTTTTTTTTTAAGTAAACCCATGCTGATTTAGCAGTTACTTTTTTTCTAATTGTTTGCAAACACATCTTTTGGACAATTCATTCTAGAATCTTATTTGGGATCAATACTAAGATCCTTGACATATGGTTTGGTTTGCAGATTTCACATCTTTTTGCCTTTAATTTAGTTATTACCAGGTTTCTAGCAAGTTTCCCATTTTTACATGAACTCTCAAATTTTTCTCAAATGGTTTATTGGGTTAACTGGCAAGTTTTATCAAAATTCTGGAGGGTAATTTGTTCAGGCCAGGAGTGGTGGATTTATTTAGAGTAGTCAGGTGCTCTCTTACAATCTTTATCTTCAGTTCCTTCTTACAATGTTTGTTTTATACTTTATATTGTGAGTATTATCCTTTTTAGTCAGACAGAAACATCCATTAATCATTACACCGTGAATTCTAGCACTGGGCATTTCCTTCCTTGCTTTTGTTCCAAACTTCATTTTATTGGCAGTAATTTTACTAAGATACAATTCAAAAGCACTTCATAATTGGTAACTGTTATTACTAGAAATCTTTTTTTTTTTTTTTTGAAATGGAGTTTCGCTCTTGTTGCCCAGGCTGGAGTGCAATGGTGCGATCTTGGCTCACTGCAACCTCCACCTCCTGGGTTCAAGCAATTCTCCTGCCTCAGCCTCCTGAATAGCTGGCATTACAGGCACCCACCACCATGCCTGGCTATGTATTTATTTGTATTTAGTAGAGAGAGGATTTCACCATGTTGGTCAGGCTAGTCTCAAGTTCCTGACCTCAGGTGATCCACCCACCTTGGCCTCCCAAAGTGCTGGGATTACAGGCGTACTCCACCGTGCCTGGCCTTAGAAATCTTTAAATGTTATTTTTAGAAAACTTTTTGGTTAAATAAAAATATTTTACAAAGGCAAGTGTCTTTCCTGACTTTGAGTAACTTGCTCATGATAGCAATTTTATGAATATGTGTTAACTTGAATTGATATATAATATACAGTAGCCCAATAAGTTAAGAACTGGGATAGGTTTGAACTTGCTAAGGAGGTTTTTTTTTTTTTGAGGTGGAGTCTTGCTCTGTCATCCAGGCTGGAGTGCAGTGGCATGATCTTGGCTCACTACAACTTCCGCCTCCCGGGTTCAAGCAATTCTCTGTCTCAGCCTCCCGAGTAGCTGGGATTACAGGCGCCCGCCACCATACCCAGCTAATTTTTGTATTTTTAGTAGAGGCGGGGTTTCACCATCTTGGCCAGGCTGGTCTCCAACTCCTGACCTTGTGATCCACACGCCTCGGCCTCCGAAAGTGTTGGGATTACAGGTGTGAGCCACCGCGCCCAGCCTTTTTTTTCTTTTTAACACAGGGTTTCACTCTGTCGCTCAGGCTGGAGCGTGAGTGCAGTGATGCAAACACAGCTCACTGCAGCCTGGACCTCAGCCTCAAGAGATCCTCCTGCCGCAGCCTGCTGAGTAGCTGGGACCACAGGCATGCAAGGAGCTTTTTGCTAAAAAGAGATAAAGGAAAACTGAAAATAAATATCACCTACTTCATCATTTGAGCTTGGACTAGCCCTTTTAGAAAAGGAAGATGGCAAGATTATGTTTCCAAAGATACTTCAAAGGGACAAAGTGCTGAATATACAGCAAGCAGGGGATTAATTTTGATAGAAAAACTGAAAAGTAAATTCCCAAATGTTGGTAGATGGTATAGATGTTTTAGAAGAGAACACCAAAGAGAAAAGTTATTCATCATTGATTATCCTAGCAAGAGCAGCAGACTAATTTGGCATGGCTGTTCTCTGAGCAACATGAGATTTGTTCTTGACTGAAACAACAGTCCTTTGTCTAAAAGCATTTTCTTATTACTTGGTGAAACTGTCAGTAGTCTCCTCACCTTTATTAGGTAAGATGTATGAGTAGAGGCCTTAAAATACTTCTTAAGACGTTATGCTGGGGATTTCTGATCTAGAAATTTCCTGGTATTTTTATTTATTTACCTAACAATTTAAGCAAAGTGATTAGAACTTAACCTCTATTTAACAATGTCTGGTCTTCCGCTATAGACTATAATCTTTTTGTTTGGTTGGTTTGGTTTCTGTTTTGTTTTATTTTTATTTATTTATTTGTTTTGAGATGGAGTCTCGCTCTGTCATCCAGGCTGGAGTGCAGTGTCATGATCTCAGCTCATTGCAACCTCCGCCTCCTGGGTTCAAGTGATTCTCATGCATCAGCCTCCCGAGTAGCTGGGATTACAGGCGCATGCCACCCCGCCTGGCTTATATTTGTATTTTTAGTAGAGAAAGGTTTTGCCATGTTGGCCAGGCTGGTCTCAAATTCCTGACCTCAAGTGATCCACCTGACTTGGCCTCCCAAAGTGCTGGGATTACAGGCGTGGGCCAGCACACTGGCCGTGTTTTATTTTGTTTTAGAAATGGTGTTTTGCTATGCTGCCCAGGATGGAGTGCAATGGCTATTCACAGGAACAGTCATAGCACACTGCAGCCTCAAACTCCTGGCCTCAAGAGACCCTTCTGCCTCCACCTCCCAAGTAGCCAGGACCACAGGTGCATGACATTGCATCTGGCTGTTTTTTGTTTTGTTTTGTTTTGGACTGTAATTTTAACCTGATATGAATAAATTAGTCATGTATTTAAATTACTCTAGCGACGCAAGTGATTTAATTTGTTATCAATAAGGATTTGTAGACTATATGAAATTATGGCTAGATGAAAGATAAATTACATAAATGAATGGTCTTCCTTCTGCTCTCTTTTTTCCTCCAGTCTGTCCAAATTTTATCAGTTCTTCCAAATCTTCTTTGAATGCTACTCTGTGTAGGTATATTCTTGCTGTGCGCAAATCATTTGAATTTTTGGTATTCAGGCCATTTTTCCTACTATATTATAAGCTGTCAGAAGGCTGGGTCTATATCTTATTTCTTTTTATATCTTCCATAACACACTGCTTTGCACAAAGTTGATATTTAAGCATCAGTGTATTAATGAATAATGTAATTTATGACAAACATTAATAACCACCTCAGCTTTTCACTAGTATTACTAAAACTTTATTAACTGAGTGAATATGCAATCTCTCTTTTCCATCACAGGCTTCTGTCTCTAAACAAGGGCAAATTTTAGGGAGACCTCCTTTCTATCCCATTTATTTCTCCGCCCACCCCTTTTTTTAGTTCCATTTCTCTATTGCAGCTCTATTTATCTTTTCACTATGACTCATCTTTTTTTCTCAATCCTGCCCCTTCTGTATCTGTCTGCTTTTTATTACTCCTGCCTCTTGCTCCTTTTAATTCCTAATGCCACTTACCACTTTGTTTCCCTGTTACCTGGTCTTTCTGTTTTTGTTCTTTCTGCTTGGCTTTCTCCTCCGCTTGTCACTACCTCTCTCCTTGCCCTCAAGGTACAGAGCAGGATTCAGTATAGGAGGAGCCCAGCTGGGATAGGGGTGGAGCCACCTGTTCACTGCTTCAGGATTCAGAACCTGACTAGGAAGGATCGGCTGCTCAAGGGTAGCTGGGACTGAAGTCCCTATGACCTTTCCACTAGACGCTAGCATTCTGGAGGACAGTTGGGACTTGGTAAGGTCAGAAGCTCTCCCTGTCTTCCTTTGTATTTTCCCTTTCTTCTTTCCTGTTCTGCATTTTTCACTCACAATCTCTTTTCATACTACTAACTTTTCTTCAGTTTCTCTGTTTTACTAGTCTATCTTTCCTCTTTCTACCTATCAGTGAACTCTAGTATTTGTCTCTTCTGTTACCTATTCTTTCCACACATCTCTGTATTCTCTCTCAACATTTAACTTTTTCTACCCACTCTACATTTTGTTCTTCCTTTTATTAGTTTTCTCTCCCAGGTTTCTTTTTTCTTAAACTCCTGGCCTCAAGTGATCGTCTTACCTCAGCCTCTCAAAGTGTCGGGATTACAGGTATGAGCCTCAGTGCCTG